>NC_000002.12:17964300-18115815 GCF_000001405.40 Homo sapiens
TGTGTGTGCATGCGCATCCAGGAGAGATGACTGCAGAGGGTGTGTGTGTGTGCGTGTGTGTGTGCATCCAGGAGAGATGACTGCAGAGGGTGTGTGTGTGTGCGTGTGTGTGTGCATCCAGGAGAGATGACTGCAGAGGGTGTGTGTGTGTGTGTGTGTGCATCCAAGAGAGATGACTGCAGAGGGTGTGTGTGTGTGCGTGTGTGCGTGCATCCAGGAGAGATGACTGCAGAGGGTGTGTGTGTGTGTGCATCCAGGAGAGATGACTGCAGAGGGTGTGTGTGTGTGCATGTGTGTGTGCATCCAGGAGAGATGACTGCAGAGGGTGTGTGTGTGTGTGCATGCTTGTGTGAAAGGAAACTGATAGACTACCTGATGCATATGACATTGAGAGAAATATTACCTCATGGTTGGAGCACTTGGGGGAAAGTTGTATGATAGGTGCATTTAAAAAATTAAACCCGTTATTATTTCCAGAAAATATGTACATTTCTGTGAGAAAGGAATGTGACCATGGTGTCTCCATGTCTCTGCTGTAAAGAACATTCTCATAGTCCTAATAATGGCAGTAGTTAATTTAACTGAAAATGTGATCGAACATTAAAAAGATGGGGAAAGTGTGTGTGCACGTGTGCACATGTGTGAGCACATGAATGACCATCTGGTATTGGTCTGGTTTAAGATCAAGTTTTCATTCTCTATAAAAACTCAATAGATAATGTCTAAAAATGACAAATAATCAGGAATTCATGATAAGCATATTGTTTAGAAGTTTGATCTCAAATATATTTGGCTAGGAATGGAAAGTGCCAGCCTCTGAGTCACATGGGGCAGGGGACTGCTCTGGTCTCCTTACCCTGTTTTCTTTTGCTCTATTGCACTGATAGGGTTTGGCTATGTCCCTACCCAAATCTCATTTTGAATTGTAGCTCCTATAATTCCCAAGTGTTGTGGGAGGGACCCAGTGGGAGATAATTGAATCATGGGCAGTTTCCCCTATACTGCTTTTGTGGTAGTGAATAAGTCTCACAAGACATGATGTTTTTACAACGTGTGTGTGTGTGTGTGTGTGTGTGTGTATGTGTGCATGTGTGTGCATCCAGGAGAGATGACTACAAAGGGCATGTGTGTGTGTTTGTATGTGTGTGTACATCCAGGAGAGCTGACTGCAGAGGGAGTGTGTGTGTATGTGTGTGCATCCCAGAGGGGTGACTGTAGAGGGTGTGTATATATGTGTGTGTGTGTGCGCGCACATCCTTTCACTTGCATCTCATTCTCTCTCTATTTGTTCTTCTTTTTTTTTTTTTGAGATGGAGTCTCTCTCTGTCGCCCAGTCTGGGGTGCAATGGTGTGATCTCAGCTCACTGCAACCTCTGCCTCCTGGGTTCAAGCAGTTCTCCTGTCTCAGCTTCCTGAGCAGCTGGGATTAGAGGCGTGTGCCAGCACGCCCAGCTAATTTTTTGTATTTTTAGTAGAGAAAACATTTCACCATGTTGGTCAGGCTTGTCTCGAACTCCTGACCTCGAGTTATCTGACCACCTCTGCCTCCCAAAGTGCTGGAATTACAGGCGTGAGCCACTGTGCCTGGCCACATTCTCTCTTATCTGCTGCCATGTAAGACGTGCCTTTGCCTTCAGCCATGATGCCATGATTGTGAGGCCTCCCCAGCCACGTGGAACTCTGAGTCCCTTAAACCTCCTTTTTTTTCAAGTAAATCACCCGGTCTCGGGTATGTCTTTATCAGCAGCATGAAAATCAACTAATACATGTACTTTTAACAATTCCAAATTGACCAGATAAAACACAGAACTTTATGTTAAGGTCGTGGAATGAAAGCAATGACATCAACTCCGTAACGTTACCATATAAAGATGAACAGTTTTCCCCGAATTATTTGAATTCTGACTAGGCTCCAACAGTAGCACCTCTTTTAGAGTGCCAAGCTATATTCCTGAAACAGAAATCAGAGATGAGATTCAAAAGGGACAAGAGGAAAGAAACTGCTGCTTCGTTTTGTCCATAAGCAGTACTTTGCTCAATTTGACACCCTGCAGTGGTGTGACCAGCCATGTTCACCGTGGAGTTGTTGGTTTTGGCATGGCAACCCTGCAGGGAGTTTATATATATTTTTTCTTTTTAAAGGTGGTTCTGCTTAGACATACTCTGATGAAGTCAGTGAGCAGAGGCAGATGATGGTTTGAATGATGGTTTACTTTGCTCTGGGGATTGAGGCAGAGGAGGAGCTCCGAGGGAGCATGGTGTTGATATTTGATCTATTTGGAGTTGACTTTCTAACTCTCTGTAACTCCTTTGCCCCCTTTAATCCATTATTGAGTGTTGCCTGGGGAATGGGGTTTTCTTGGAATGAATGTATTTGCTTTCTTTCCATTTCTGCCTGCCCTTAATCTCTCCCTCGCTTACCCTGGCATCTTCTCTGCCAGTGAGCTACTGAAGCCCTTACTCTTCTGAACCAAGGCCACAAGGGTCCTGGATCTCAGCAGCTGAGTGCTCCGGTGGGTGAGGGGCACTTTCACCCATGGGGATGTGGTCGCATTGCTATACAATAGCTTTGATTCCAAATAAGCTCTGAAGACATCTTGCCCATTAAGGCAAATAGTATTTACTTTTGAGTGATTATTGCTAAGAAGGCTCGGGCATGTTTTGTGTGGCTGGCTAATTGAAAATTACTTCCTGTTCTCAGTTGGCTGCTTCTTGCCACAGACAAATGAGGATGCACCTGACAAACTTCTTGTTGTGGGTTTTGTGTCCCAGCTCAGTTCTAAAGATTTAAAGCAGCCTGTTCTCCATTCTGCATCCCCTGAAGTGAGGTTTTAAATGCAGCATGTTTTGTTCTTTATTTAAACTACTCAAGCTTTTGTAAGTGTTGAGTTAAAGAATAGACATTAGTGGTTCTGGGCTGCATCTGGGTGTTCGAGCCAGTAGGATCATTTATCGGTAAATCCTCAGAGGAGTAGCCAGTTTAAGTATTGCTTATTTTTCTGTTTTTCTCAGGAATTCCCTTGTAAAGTTTTAGGAAGGCTGTATAGCCCCCTTTTTCTATTCTTCATAGAAAAACTTACATTTGCAAAGGCCTTTTGTGTCATCAAGACAGAAGACAAAAAGATGAGTAAAGGATGACAGTGGATTAACAACCTGAAGCCAGTCTCGTGATTAGGTATCTGGGCCCCTTAATGAAAAGAGCATCCATTGAAACCCTCTGCTGTTGCTGATGTCTTGCGGTCAGTACTTAATGAACGTTTTCCTAGTGTGTGAATCAAGACCAGATGAATGGCATATAGGAAACCACATCTGTAAAGTTCTCTGAGTCCATAGAGCTGAAAATTTGGCTTTGAAGACCTATGTTGCTATTCCAGCTCTATCACTTTTCCAGTCCAGTGACCTTAACCCAGTTTCTTAATACCTCACTTTCTTTATCTGTAAATAAGAACGATTCCAGTCACCTTCTGTAATAAACAAAATAATGTATGACAAAATTATACAAATATATTTTTATTTAGTCTTAATACTGTATTTGTTTTTGCTGTTATTAAGACAATTTGACATTTTTATGATTATAGTCTAGCACAGAAAATAAGAAATTATTTAATATTTGAGCATTCAGACCAGCAGAAATAAAGTGACTCTATATTGTGTGTGTAATATAAATACGAAGTGTTTCTAGCTCAGAAGAATTTCCTTAAAGTAGAAATAAGAGCAAGTTGCTAAGTATTTTCATTTGCATTGATACTTCTCAGAATTCCTATGACACTTACTTTTTCTGCTAGCCAGCACTTAATTAAGGATGTGTGATAGAATAAAAATCATCAACCTGGGAGTGTTCAGACTTTTCCTCTGCTAAAGAGAATCTGTAATTGGCAGTCAAATGTTCCACCCGCCTACCAGTCTGCTTCCTAAAAGTTTTTCTTCACACTAAAAATCTGTGGCAGAGGATGAGGAGTGGAGGCAGGAATTGGAGCAGAGTATAAATGGGGTGCAAGAGGAGATTTTTCTAGGGGCTATTTGCAAATGAAAAGCATTAGAGAGAGAAGAGTATGAAAAAGTTGTGAAGAGAATAAAGTTTGGGAGTTAGGACATAAACACCAAATGGAATTATTTTAAAAATGTCTTTTGGAGGTTGACCTCCAGGTAGCATTCTTCATGGACTGGACCTTGTGGCTCACAGCTTTAATGGGATTACAGATGAAGAGCATCGTGGAATATTTTACGTGATTTTTTTTGTCTATCCAGCCAAATAATCTCATCTTATTTTGCATCACATCCCTACAGATTCTTGCTCAGTGCACCCTCTACTACCAACCAGCAGAACAACTTCTGCGAAACACAAATGTGATCATGCTACTTCCTTGTTTAAAACCCTGTGGAATGATAGGGACCACGTCCCCCCTTTATTCGAGTCTGACACACATGCACAGGCTAATGGGTCTGGGCCATTTGCCCATCTGAATGATGAGATGACACCTCCCCACTCCCCATCCGAAGTACTTTGTTACATTCTTTCGTAATGCAGTGAAGGACACTGACTCTCACTTGAGGAGTTAAGGGGAAGATTTCTCAGGAGAAGGTGGAGAACAGGGATGTTCTCCTGGATGCTTTGATAATCTCTGCCTTCAGTCCACATGGAATGCCACCTAAAGTGGCCAAAGCAGCAGCCTTGTCCCACGGGAAATCCAGCCAGTCACTGGAGGAATTTGTGACACACCAAGGATCAGGGCCAGCGGTGCATGTGGCCCACTTTGATGGGGAGCCTGGTTTCATCACTGTCTTTGTTCAGAATTTGCAGCATAGGAGAATACTTGATTTTATTATTGTTTTTAAATTCTGTACAACAAAGGACCCCCATATTGTTAGCACCAGGGGCAGACTGCTCCCCTGTGGCAAACTGCCCCTCTTCATCCCCTTAGTTTACCAGGCGATGACACAGCGGCCACTCCCTCCCACTTGTTTTCCTAGAGATTGAAGAACAATTGTATCCCATGCTTGATCTGACTGATATGGAAATGCCTGATGACCATTTGAGTGGCAGCCTCCCAGATCTGTAAAAATCACGATACAGAGGCAGCAGGGACTGATGAGAGTCTCTGAAACCAGGCACTGTAGATCCACATATGGTAAGAACAGTGGAGTGATTCCATATCTTGGGCTCTGGAGATGGCATACTGGGTCCAGAAAAACATGACACCCATGACAGGAAAAAGCTGGCAATGAATTGTTCATCAGCTGCAGGTGGGACTTTAACTTTGCCTGGCATATGTAGTATTCACATTCTGAAATTTGGATTGTGTTTCTAAGTACTTGTAGTCATTAAATACTATTTCCTTTTTTAAAAGATAAATATCATTCCTTTCAAGAGGCTCAGTCAGATAGCTTAGGCCCTGAATTTGTTTTATTTTAAAGGTGCTTTATACAGTAATTTTTCAAGTGCAGTTGTTTTCATTATTCTGGTGAATTTCAGTTAAAAGTAAACTTTTTCAACTTGCTTAAAAGGAGCAGATATTTGAGATGGTGACTGTTTCCCACAAACTCTTAAAGAATGAGAGTTGAGTCCCATGGTACAGAGAGGAGGGAACTGATCAAATGCTGAATCAAATATGATCAGCAGCTGGGCAGGAGTGAGAAAGGGACTGCAAAAGCTTGGCAGGGAGGCCAGTGCTTCTGATAGAGATCCCTTCCCGGGCCCCATAATCGGCAAACCTTCTCATTGCCTGCAAGGTGACGTTCATGCTCCTAAACATGGCAGCACGTGGAATTCTACCCACCTCTTCTTCCACTTAATCTTTCTACATTTTTCCCTTGCAGGTACCCTATCTCTGTGCTCCAGGGAGCTCTAACTGGCCAGTGCCTGAACGTGACATGTTCTTTTATGTCTCTGTGTCTTTGCACACACTGTTTCCCTCCCTGAGAAACTTGACTTTCTTCTTCTTTCATTTTTCTATACTTATCTTTGAGAGTTAATGAAATGTCATCTCCCCCATGGAGATGTCACTGATTCCATTTCCAGTTACATCTCAAACATTCATAACACAGTTCTGGAGTCAGAATGCCAAGTGTGGATCCTGTCTCCACCACTTAATGCTGAAAACTTGGGCAAGTCACTTAATCTCTCTGCTTTAATTCCCTCAGTTGTATAATAGAGATAATAATAATATGAATACTTATTTACTATGACAATAAAGTAATCAAGAAAGTTTCCTTTAAGCACACAATAACTCAGTAAGTGTTAATTTTTATTATTTTTGTTATCATTTATTACTACCACTACCATTACCATCATATATACCTCCCTAGTGCTTTTATTTATACAGATTTCATTCACACAGTTATTATTATTTGTGTGAACCTGACTCTTTCTCATGTAACTTTCATTGCAAAGGCTTAGTACATTATTTGGTATGAACAGGTGTCCAGTAAATATTTTTGAAATTCAATTATTGGTGTCTATGCCTTTTATACTTATTAGATCCTAAGCTCATTAACGTGTGCCTTCTGCTTTTTAGCAATAATCAGGGATGCTAGCCAGTGCCCCTGCACGTAATCAGTATTCAACTAATTTCCAAAGAAGCCAATGTATTAATGAATTGTGTGCAGAAATGACTATTTAATGTTGCCTCTCAGAGAGCAGAGCAGACCTCAGGTGTCATGAGAGATCTCACCCTGATGCGCCATGTAGGCTGAGCCATATGGGCTGGAGGCAAACATTGTAGTCCAAGTCTTTGTTTCCTAAGCCTCTGATGAAATAAAAAGTCAGACAAGATGTAGTGTTAAAGATGAAGATCTGTCCTCTAAGCCTGAAGCCGAAGTGTGAAAGTGGTTAGGGAAAGAATAGGGATTTGCGTGTGGGGTGGCTGGCTGGACTAGCTTAACTCTGGTGAACTTTGTAACTAGAGAGTAGATTCTATGCCCTGTAGCTTTAACAGCCTGGATTTCCACAAAACTAGGAGTTTTTTAATTAAAATGTCTCTGCTTCTACAAAACTATCTAATGGGCATTATTTGGTTGGATGTTTCATTATGTTACATTCATTAGGTTACAAAGAGCTTAAAGTCATAATTCCCTTCAAAGAGGGGTCAGGCTGAATGAAACACTTTGATCCACCTTCTGAGAACAGGACTTGAGTATTTCCATGTAAGTGTTTAAAGTGGGTTGTTTCATACCCCAAGAGTGTGAGGTGTTTTTGATCCATCTCACATCGTGTTCTATTAATACCATCCTGAACTTTGGATTGATTATTTAATGGCCCTTACTATTTTTTTTAAATGGCTCTTACTATTAAATGCTACTCCTTTAAAGGGACGCTTGTTAAGCTGTTCAAGCCCTGAATTTATGTTTTGTTTAAAGAGCGCCATATAAAGTTGAGATCCAGAGATTTTGAGGGAATGGTTTAAGTGAAAAAGTGGGAAAGTTACTTTAGTTTAAGAGTAACCTTTAAAGATTTTCCCAGAGAACTGAAGCACACAGAAAAAAATGTGGGGTCATTAGAAATGGAATGCAAGACTCTTTACTTTTCAAGTTTAAGCTGCTAGAAATGAAAAATGTAAATAGAAAGATTAATGAGGGAGGGATTTTGAAAGTTCTTTATCAAGCAGTTGAGTTGTTGCCTGTAATGGCAAAGAAAGTGGAGCGGAGGCCTCTTGAGACCAAGCATGGCTTCCTGAAGTCCCTCCTCAAGATGTTTCACTTGCCATTCTCCACTTTTCTGCCTGTCACTGGCTCTCATAGCTCCCATTCTCCCAAACTTCTTCTTTCCTTCATTCAATCAATACCCATCTTCCATTCTGGACCTAGTCTATTGAGGAATAAAGACTTGCCTAAAAGTGAGAACACAGCCATTTATTCACCAAAGAAGTTATGTATTGAGAACCTGCAGCATTATGTCTGATACTGTGATAAATGCTGGAAATTCAGGCATGATGTGGCTTAGGCACAGCTGGCTGCTCATATGGAAGTTTCCTTTTCCTCTCGGGCACATGGCTAAACTATATTTCTTAGCTCACCTGCAGTCAGATGAGACCATGAGACTAGGTTCTGGCTAATGGATTTGAGCAGTTGTAATAAGGGCCATTTTCAGGTCTGACTCCTTGCATGACCTTAACTTTTCTTCCTCGTTCATCATGGCCAGCTGAAAGCAGTAGATCCAGAAAAGGAGTTTCAGGCCTTACGTGTTAGCACCATCATTAGATCAAACAGTTGGGCTCCTGAATTCTCACATGGCAGTGAGCCATCTGGGATAACTATCTTCTGAGATACTTCTGGATGGGACTTTGTGTGATGAGGAAGTGAGCTTTAATTTTGTTAAGCTACTGAGATTTCAGGACTTATTTGTGACTTCAGCAACTACATTATGTACTCTGACTAATAGAGATGAATAAGATACAGATCCTGTCTTTAAGGAGTTACTATTTTGTGTGAGAGAAACATTTAAATAAATGATTATAAAACAATATGATCAATATAGCAAATGAAATGTATAATGTGCAATGCAAGTAGAGCAGGCAGTAAGAAAGGGATGCTAATGGTGACAGGCTTCCTGGAGAAATGCATCATTTTCTGTTTCTTGCAAATGTGGGCTTGGCTGCGGGAAAGTGGTTGTGGGTAGGGAGAAGGAGAGGGCAATAAGAAGGTTGGTGTGGCTGGAACAGAAGGGATAAGGTTGATCGTGGGTACAGAAGGGGCTGGAGAGGGAGGCAGGTGGCAGATGACAGAGGGTCTTACAATGCCATGCTGGGGACCTGGACTTTTTGAGTTGGGTCCCATTCCACATGCTGATGTGTGATGATGTAAGAAGCTTGTGCCAGAATGTAAATCAACGCTCTGCGTCTTTCCTTGAGTAAATCTTGAGATTAAAAAACAAAAGTCTACTAAACTTAAAGAGCAAGATAAGTGATGTGGTTTTTCATTCTGGCAGAAGCTTCTTATTTTGTTATGTCTGGAAACTATCCACTTGTCTAACGCCCATACTTTAAGTAGCATTGTTTTAGACAATTTATTCTGCTTGCTGTGGATGATGGGTATGAGGGGTATATATTCAGAAGCAGGGAGACCACTTAAGATGGATGCAGAAGCAATTCCAAGGAGAGACAATGAAGACCTAAACTAGAGCAAGGGTAGTGTTGGTGCACAAAAGGGAATGGATTTTGGAAATACTTAGTACAGGAGCAGGGCATGGAAAGAGAGAATTAAAAAATGAGTCCTAAGTTTCTTGATTGAGTGTTTGGATGGTTGGAGGTGCCTTTTACTGAAGAAGAGCCTATAAGAGGAAAAATACATGGACCTGGGGGTAGTCTAATGAATTAACTTTCAGTGCTGTTGAACATGAAGGGGCTGAGGGAGCTCCAGGTAGATGGTTGAGCAGCTAGTCAGAGCTGACTGTCCAGAGCTTGGGGTAAGAGCTCTGGGATGGAGGTCCAAATTTGCCAGTTATTATCATAGGAGTTATAGAAAACAGGAGTGTAACTATACAGGAGTATGAAAGACAGTGGCCCAGGATAAAACCCTGTAGCACACCAGAATTAAGGAGACAAAGATGTTATCAGATAGACCTGGCATTTCAATAAAGTGAGAGGTCCTGAGAGCCCTGAGAGCAGAGTTTTTAGAAATACTCAGCCAATGAATGCAGCAGCGAGGTCTAGCAAAATATCAAGGAAAACACCTCCACTGGAATTATAAATTAGGATGTCTTTGATGAAAACTGGGGCAGAGGAGTAGAAGGGGCAACTGCAACACTGTAGTGAAATTCGAAGAGATCCTTAAACCCTCAAGTAATCTAAGCAAGTCCCTATTTCTACCTCTGTAAGATAAGGAGTCAGACTAGATAAGCTCTAAGGTGCTTTCAGCTCTAACATTCTATAATAATAAATACTATTTTGAGCACCTTATGTATGGTAGGCACATAATTTTTATTAAAATTCTGTAAGACATTGGCATGCCATTTTTCTGGAGGCTGAAAGTGCTTAAATATCACGTTGAGGTTCATATAGCCAAGGAATTTCTGAGCTGAGAATTAATAACTAGATTTGTCTGAAACAAAACCCACGTTCTTTTCACTATCCTGCATTGTACAATGATTTTAAAGAGTGATAAGGTACAAGGTAGAATGTGAATTGAATTTGGTAGTAGATCATTTAGAAGAGCCATCCTTGCTATATTTTCACAGGCAATCTCCTTTAATAAAAGGCAGAATGTTCCTTTTGAGGAACATAAACCAAATTCAATGTGAGGCCTTTGAACTACTCAGATATTAGGTATATAAAAACGAACAGGATGATCAGCAAGTGACAGGGAAATGGGAAACTTTTACATAGGCAGAAAAAAATCAATAGTGCATAATAGTTTACAGAGGTGATATATTTTATAGTTAAGCATCTCTGAAGACGAGCTTAGTAGTTGATAAGTATAGAAACTCTTGGAGACATAATTCTCATTCAGTGCAGATAAGCTGATATCTGAAGCCAATTATCTGATATAATAAGAGCTCATGCTTCCTCAAGGTGTCTTCCTTTGAGTATGTGTTAAGAATGATTGTTTTCAAAGTTGGCCAGCTTATCAGGTGAATTTTCTACATCTTACCCAGAGATAAAAAGGGAGAAATATTTTGAGTATATAATACCTTTGAAGAACCGGTGGTGTTATTGCGCTTTTGATAACTGGATAAATAAGCACAGTCAAAATTTTTGGAAACTCTCTGACTTGAGTATTCAGACTTCTCATATATTATTTCTAGTGCAGATTCTGTCTGTTCAGTGGTCTTGCAGGTTCTTCCTATGCTCTCACACAAGTCCTATACAAGATAGTCTAACCTGTAAAGTGTTTTAGAGCTCACCAAATCCAAATTTTTAATTTTATAGTCCTAGAGGCCACTCAGCCCCATCCCCAGCTCATACCTGTCCTAGGGTCTCAGAGCAGCCCAGTCCCAAGGTGGAAGCAAAGTGAGGGGCTCAGGGGTTCTGTTCTCAGGCAAGCTGGCTTCAGTACTGCTCTGACCTCACTCTGTTTCTTGCTGGATTCTTGCTTTACCTTGATTCAGTGACAGAAGCTATTTTGTGACAATTCCAGGCCTAAGTCTCTGCCTTGACTTCTTGCTTGTTATCTCTGTTAGTCAGGCTAATCTAGGATTTAGTGCAGTAACAAACCAACCCTCAAATATCAGTGGCTTAACACATAAAGTTTATTTCTCACTCATGAGTCTGGCAGCACTGTAGGATAATTTTCTTTCAAGCAGTAACTTAAAGAGCTCAGTTTCGTGCATCCTGTAGCCACAGCATGTGGGCTTTCAGGTTACCTAGCAGAGGGAGAGTGAGCTGGAGGGTGAGCCTCATCTCTTAAGTGCTTTCACTTGGAAATGACACACATCATTTCTGCTCACTCCCCATTGGCTAGAACTAGTTTACGTGGCCTTTGCTAACTGCAAGGGGTTTTGGAAATTTAAGAAAGCACATAGATTTTGTTAAGCAATAAATATCTCTGGTATACTATGTAACTGTTTGGACTGCATGTTTATGTCCCTTTCAAATTTGTATGTTTAAGGCCTAACCCCTAGTGGGATGATATTAGGAGATGGAGCCTTTGGGAGGTGATTAGGTTATAAGGGTGGAGTCCTCACAATAGTATTAGTGACCTTATAAGAAGAGATAGGAGAAAGGTTGCTGCTTCTCTCTCTGCTCTCTGCCATGTGAGGACTCAGCAAAAAGATGGCCATCTGCAAACCAGGAAGAGGGCCCTCACCAGAACTGACCATGCTGGCACCTGATCTTGGACTTCCCAGCCTCTAGAACTTTGAGAAATACATTTCTGTTGTTTAATCCACCCATTTTTGTAATAGCAGCCCAAACTGACTAACACAACAACATAGGGCTTTGTAATTGGTTCTTGCTCTGTTTTAATTTGGTGATTGGAGCTCTTACTTGCCAACAGCCTGCTGAGTCCTGATTTAATTTTCTGCTTTGTATTCCGCATCGGGTTTATAATTTTGCCTCACCTCTTTCAGGGATGGGATCTTAGTTCATTTGTTCTGCTATTAATGAATATCTGAGGCTGGGTAATTCATAAATAATAGAGATTTATTTGGCTCGTGGCTCTGCAGCCTGTCATGGCATAAGCATCTGTTTCTGGTGAGGGCCTCAGGAAGCTTCCACTCATGGGGGAAGGCAAAAAGAAGTAGGCATTACCTGCTCTTTTCAACAACCAGTTCTTATGGAAACTAATAGAGCAAGAACTCATTGACTACTGTGAGGATGGCACCAAGCCATTCATGAGGGATCCATCCTCATGACCCAAACACCTCCTACCAAGCCCTATCTCTAACACTGGGGATCAGACTTCACCATGAGTCTTGGTAGGGGCAAACAAACTATATTCAGACCACAGAAGATGGGTATCAGACTTCAGCCTACAGGCAGCCTTCTCCAACTGCTGCCCTGCCAGTGAGTGCTATTCGGAGCCCCTTCACCCACTATGCATACATGAAGGTTATGCCAACATCAACTGGTGGCTTACAACAGCAGGAGTTCTCAAAAGGTGGTGAGGGAAGTAGCCATAGCCCTTTAATTGGGATAGGAGGTATAGTTTGAAAAAGCCCAGATGACTGCGATAGAGCCTCTTCCCCACAGTCCCCACTGGGAACTGGTCCCAACCCAACTCTGTCTGACTCACATGTTCCTTCAGGACAGCAAGAGGAGGGGTTTTGAGGCTATTTCTGTTCTATTTTGAGTAGGTAAACAGGTGCTTCCAGAAAGGCTGTCTGTGCTTTTGATTCCGAAAATAGGCATCTCAGTAGTATCAGATAGCAAAAAGTAGGCGAGGCAGTGATTTTGGAAAGAAACTACTGTAGCTGTTTGTTTTGTCGCCTGACCCTACCCATGGCACCACCCAGTCCTATAAACAGATGGCTCCTCCTCTGGAGCAGCCAGGATCCAGCTTCTCAGGGGTCACTTGAGCAGCCACACACTGCATTCCTTCCTCCTTCTGCAACAGAATGGGATCAGGCCAATGAGAGATTATCCAGGTTTTCCTCCTTTTTTTTTCCTTTCTTAAAAAAACTTGTAATAAGCTGACTTTGTACAGTGGAATGTTCTTTGTGGCTTATGAAGAAATAAACAGTAGTCTTGGTGGCTCTTAGGAATATATGCGGTGGGGCTTAAGACTCTTGAGAACGTTGCCAGTCCCAGTGACTGCTCTGAGATGAGGTCACATGAGTTGTCTCCCTGAGTAACAAAAGGTGGGATTCACATGACTGGGCTGACCCCAGTTGGCTGATTATTCAGTTCAGACAGAGCTAAAGAAAACCAGTTGCCCACTGGCCTTTCAACTCTGCTTCTTTCCTGTTATTTCTTCAGCCATTTATAGTCTAGTGTCTGGAGAGAGCTGGTCCAAAGTTTGGCAGGACTTGAAACAGATAAATCATTTGCAGACCAGTAAGGGCCTTACAGCTTTACTAGGAAAGGAAAAAATGGAAGCTTGGATTGAGGTGTGCTGATGTCTCCTTTTACTGGCTCAGAGTGTTTTCATTTTAACCCCCATTGAGGCCAAGCACAATTCCAGAATCACATTCTGCGCCTTTGCTGGGTAAATACTCCGTTACACACTTGGTGGGCAGGATCTAAGAATTCCCTGCAGGCAAATGAATATGAACTGGACACAGTAGGAGATATTGCAGTGCTGTGAGTGAAGTGCACCACGACGTTTTTCTCAGGGCTGTGCCAATACCTGCCAGGTTGTGAGAAGTTCACAGTCATGTTACTGTTCATCTTGCATCTGCTTAGAATTGACCTTCCTAAATCTCAGTTCCAGATTCTTTTATTTTCTTTCAACTTTTAGAATCAGAGGGTACATGTACAGATGTGTTACATGGGTATGTTGAGTGATGTCGAGGTTTGGAGTATGATTGAATCAGTCAATCAGTCACCCAGGTGGTGGTGAGCGTAGTACCCTGTAGATTTACTAGCTTCTGTGCTTGTATGGGGTCACCTACTCAAAGAGGGCTTTGTTTTCACTTTTAAATGTAAACCAGATAATTTAGGTTACATATGATAGAAAAAAAGAGGCAAGAAAATAAAACCCTGTAAGTCATTTCCTATGTTTTCTCCACCACACATCTAATAAGTTATCAATTCCTCCTGATTATGCCTTTCACACATCCCTCTAATATATCATATGCTCACTTAGGTTAAGGTTTAGGGTAGGTTAAGGCTCCACTATGTCCCAACTGGAATATTTCAATAGCATCCTGACTGGTCTTGCTACCTCCAATCCTAATTTACCTTTGTTGTTTTTTTTATCCTTCTAGTGGAATGACATTTCAGAACACAAAAATGACCATGTCACAGCCCTGTGTATAAGTTTTCAATGGCTTTTGATCACCTGTGGAATGAATTCCAACCCTTTGTCTTAGTACATAAAGCTTGTCACAATGTGGCTGCTGGTTTTCCTCTCCGTTCTCCTGCCTCTCCACACTCCGGCATGCACCGTTCTCCAGGTCTGTGTGGAGACCAGGCTGTCTCATGCTCATCTGTGTCTCTGCTCCTCCCCATATGTTTCTACCAATGACTCTCACCTCTTCATCGTGCAAACTCTGATTAATCTTTCAGCATTCAGCCCAGACAATACCTCCCCTAGGGAAACTTTGTAGATCCATCTCCTCAGGTGGGCTGGAGACCCTGTATCTGGGCTCTAGTAGTATGTGTCACACTGAATTGTAATTTTTAACTTGCTGAGAATCTCCATGTAGACTCTGAACCTCTTGAAAGTAGAAACTGTATCTTATTTGACTTTGCCTGTGTCATTTGTGGCTCTGTTTTTGGACCCTTTATTCTGTTCTATTGCTAAATATGGCTGTATTTATGCCAATATCACACTTTATTTAAGATACTATTACTGTCTGAATAACTGTAGCTTTATAGTAATTCTTGAAAGCAGATAGGATAAGTGCCACAACTTTGTTCTTTTTTTCAAGGTTGATATGACTATGTACAACTTTTATATTATCCTATACATTTAGAATCAGCTTGTCAATTTTGACAAACAAAACCTCGTTGGGATTTTGATTGGGATTGCATTTAACCTATAGGTCAATATGGAGAGAGTTGACATCTTAATAATATTGAGTCTTCTGATCCAGGAACACAGTGTATCTCTCCATTTATCTAGGTCACCTTTTATTCTCTCAGTAATGTTTTATAGTTTACATTAGGCAGGCCTTGCACATATTTTGTCACTTAAAATTAACACTTGAACATGCAAAAACTCAAACTTAGGAAACAGAGAAATTGGGAGAAGATTCTTTGCTTTTTAGATGGATTCAACCGAAAGCTTATATACACCCAAATCCTTCATTGGGAAGAATATATTGCAGAGTAGGTACTCAAAACACTGCTGGCAAATGAATGCCTGCTGTGATTAAGAGAATTTGCATCCTTTAGCCATTCTCCTCAAACCCAAAGACTTTAGAAAGTAAAGGATGACTGCATTCTATTTTCCTTACTCCTCAATGAATTATTTTTAAGGGGATTTGTTTGGGTTCATCATAGGCAAAAAATTGCATTCTTTCAATTCAGTAGTCTGAGTCAGGCAGAGTCAGCCTCTGGGAGGAGAGAGGCTGGATTTGATCACCATGGGTAGATTATTGGGCTTTGCTGAGCCCATGAGCTCCTTCCAGCTTGATGGTTGTCAGATATGACTCCCTGTCTCATAAAGAGCCAGACTATATGCATGTGGGATGAGGGCTGGCTTTGCCAGTCAAACATGATTTATGGGCAACTACAGAAAGCAGAAAGTCTTAGGGCCAGGCTGAAAATGCAGGAGGCCCATCATCCTTCTCAGGGCTATGACAATATCTGCCAGGTTGTGAGAAGTTCACAGTCATGTTCCTGTTCATCTTGCATCTGCTTAGAATTGACCTTCCTAAAGCTCAGTTCCAGCTGTGGCCCACCCCTGTCCTGGCCCTAAAGCCTCTAATAGCTCCCTATTAACTCACTGAATTGTCCAAATTTATTTTTGCGATACCTGAATTCCTTTGTAACCAGCCTCCAAATACTTAGCAGGTCTTATGTCCCATATCTCCTGAATTTACTCTGCCCTCTAGCCATATAGGAGTGTGATGTGGTTAGGATGTTGTCCACTTCAAATATCATGTTGAAACGTAATCCTCAAGGTTGGAGGTGGGGCCTGCTGGAAGGTGATTCAATCACGGGGGCAGATTTCTTATGAATGGTTTAGAACCATCCCCTTGGTGCTGTACTTGCAATAGTGAATGAGTTCTTGTGAGATCTGGTTGTTTAAAAGTATATAGCACCACCCCCTTCACTCTCTCTTGCTCCCGCTCTTGCCACGTGAGACGTCTGCTCCCTCTTCACATTCCACCATGATTGTAAGCTTCCTGAGGCCTCCTGAGAAGCCGAGCATATGCCAGCACCGTGCTGCTTGTACAGCCTGCAGAACTGTGAGCCAATTAAATGACTTTTATTTATAAATTACCCAACCTCCAGTGTTTTCTTATAGCAATGGAAGAACAGCCTAACACAGAGTACATGCAATTCCCAAAAAATGGCAGAATCTTGTCTCCCCTTTGCTACTGAAGTTCTCTCTTCATGCTATGATCTCACTCTCCTTTGTTTTTTTTTTTAATTTTAAAGTATTATTTTCTGAGAGATTTCTTCAATTTCATCTTTTAGTCCTTCTACTGAAATGTTCATTTCTATATCTATCTAATCCATTCAGCCCTGGCTGCTGAAATAGCATTTCTAAATTATAACTCTGCTCATGAGCCTGCTCAAAAATTTCCAGTGCCTTTCTAAGTCCAAAAGACAAGTCAGAACTTCTTAGCCTCACATTAAGGCTTTCCAAATTCCATTCTCCTGTGCCTTGACCTATTAATAAGTTCCTACTCTGAGTGCCCAACTTTGGGGTTACCACCCCTCAGCACTTCTATAGCATTTATCTGTGGTTCTCATCCATACAACACATTTTGTTGCTAATTTTGTGTTTGTGTATATGTGTATAGCTGTGTGTCTATATCCCTACCAAACCATGAGCTTCGGTGGCCAGCAACTACTTTATTCATTCTGTAGCTTCCTTAGGACCCAGTCCTATTTCTTCTCCTAGTAGATGTCTAACACATATTTGCTGGCAGTGAATAATGGAAAAGTAGAGTAGAGCAGAAGGTGCCCGGGGTTGGTGATGTATCAGGAAATATACAGATCTCCCATTCAGAAGCTCCCACCAGGACCTGCCTGGGGGTGATGAGAATAAATGAGTTCTCTTTTAGTTCCATTTAACAGATACATATGGATCACCTCAAGGTTGGATATTAAAATATACTATGAAGACTGGGCACAGTGGCTTATGCCTGTAATCCCAGCACTTTGGGAGGCGAAGGTGGGGGGGAATCACTTGAGGTCAGGAGTTCGAAACCAGCCTGGCCAACATGGTGAAACCCTGTCTCTACTAAAAATACAAAAATTAGCCGGCAGTGGTGGTGGGCACCTGTAGTCCCAGCTACTTGGGAGGCTGAGACAGGAGAATCTCTTAAGCCTGGAAGGTGGAGGTTGCAGTGAGCCAAGATGGCACTGCTGCACTCCAGCCTAGGTGACAGAGCAAGACTTTATCTCAAATATATATATATATATATACATGTACTATTAAACACTGATCCCCAAGGAAGAAATGCAAATTCATACTCAACTAATCTCTACTGGTGAAATATTAAGCTTGGGCCAGTTTCCCATGATTTAATGAATAAGCTGTAAAAGAGGACACCACACTCTTCCATCTGCTGCCCCATGCTTGTGGTCACAACCAGGAGATAGCCCGATTTCATCAGTGGCTAAATGAAGATGGGTGTATGCCCAGTCAGAAGAGGAAAGATCACTGAAGGTCAGGGACAGAATGAAAGGGAAGAGCATCAGTTTCAGCCCAATGAAGAGATTTTCAGCTGACAGGCATTCCTGAGTGAAACTGCCTGTATTATAAGGGCTTTTTACTGCTTTCTACACGTCTGCTCTATGCTGCATGGCGTATGAAAGGCATGAGGCACACAGGTGAATTAGACACAAGGAGCCACAAGAAAAGAGATGGTCACTTAAAAAAGTTCCTAACATTTATATACAACTTTATAGTTTTCCTTTAAGCAAGATAGCTTTTATCTTTATAAAATTATATGAAAAATGCTAATAACAAGAAATAATTGTATCCATATTTCTATACAAAAAGATAATTGTTAAAATTGTGTTAAAATTTTTCCCCTTCATCTGTGCCTTTATACATTTCAGTAGTTGGGAACATACTATATGTTTTCCCCCACTTGCCTTTGTATCACAAGCATTATATGTTAATATATAGTTGCTTTACAGTTTTTATTACACTTTTAAATTAAGATGTAATTTACATACAGTAAAATTCACTCCTTTTCAGTATACAAAAGGTTGTGAGATTCATGAATATGAGTTTGACGAATGTATACAGTCAAGTAACCTCTGCCACGGTCAAGATATAGAACAATTTCATCATCCTCTCAAACTCCCCTGCGGCCCTCTGTATTCAACCATCCTCAAATCCCAGATTCTGGAAACTGCTGATCTGTTGGCTGTTCCTAAAGTTTTGTTTTTGCAAGAATTTCATATAAATGGAATTATACAGTGATGTGGTTTGGATCTGTGTCCCCACCCAATCTCATGTTCACTCCTAATCCCCAATGTTGCATGTGGGACTTGGTAGGAGGTGATTGTTTTCATGGGGGAGGATTTCTCATGAATGGTTTAGCACCATCCCCCTTGGTGCTGTCCTCATGATACTGAGTGAGTTCTCCTGAGATCTGTTTTGTTTTTTTCTTTTTAATTATACTTTAAGTTTTAGGGTACGTGTGCACAACGTGTGGGTTTGTTACATATGTATACATGTGCCATGTTGATGTGCTGCACCCATTAACTCGTCATTTAACATTAGGTATATCTCCTAATGCTATCCCTCCCCCCTCCCCCAACCCCACAACAGGCCCTGGCGTGTGATGTTCCCCTTCCTGTGTCCACGTGTTCTCATTGTTCAATTCCCACCTATGAGTGAGAACATGTGTTGTTTGGTTTTTTGTCCTTGCGATAGTTTGCTGAGAATGATGGTTTCCAGCTTCATCCATGTCCCTACAAAGGACATGAACTCATCACTTTTTATGGCTGCATAGTATTCCATGGTGTATATGTGCCACATTTTCTTAATCCAGTCTATCATTGTTGGACATTTGGGTTGTTTCCAAGTCTTTGCTATTGTGAATAGTGCCGCAATAAACATACATGTGCATGTGTCTTTATAGCAGCATGACTTCTAGTCCTTTGGGTATATACCCAGTAATAGGATGGCTGGGTCAAATGGTATTTCTAGATCTAGATCCCTGAGGAATCACCACACTGACTTCCACAATGGTTGAACTAGTTTACAGTCCCACCAACAGTGTAAAAGTGTTCCTATTTCTCCACATTGTCTCCAGCACCTATGGTTTCCTGAACTTTTTAATGATTGCCATTGTAACTGGTGTGAGATGGTATCTCATTGTGGTTTTGATTTGTATTTCTCTGATGGCCAGGGATGATGAGCATTTTTTCATGTGTCTTTTGGCTGCATAAATGTCTTCTTTTGAGAAGTGTCTGTTCATATCCTTCACCCACTTGTTGATGGGGTTGTTTGTTTTTTTCTTGTAAATCTGTTTGAGTTCATTGTAGATTCTAGATATTAGCCCTTTGTCAGATGAGTAGGTTGCAAAAATGTTCTCCCATTCTGTAGGTTGCCTGTTCACTCTGATGGTAGTTTCTTTTGCTGTGCAGAAGCTCTTTAGTTTAATTAGATCCCATTTGTCAATTTTGGCTTTTGTTGCCATTGCTTTTGGTGTTTTAGACAGGAAGTCCTTGCCCATGCCTATGTCCTGAATGGTAATGCCTAGGTTTTCTTCTAGGGTTTTTATGGTTTTAGGTCTAACATTTAAGTCTTTAATCCATCTTGAATTAATTTTTGTATAAGGTGTAAGGAAGGGATCCTGATGCAGATCAGCTTTCTACATATGGCTAGCCAGTTTTCCCAGCACCATTTATTAAATAGGGAATCCTTTCCCCATTGCTTGTTTTTCTCAGGTTTGTCAAAGATCAGATAGTTGTAGATATGTGGCATTATTTCTGAGGGCTCTGTTCTGTTCCATTGATCTATATCTCTGTTTTGGTACCAGTACCATGCTGTTTTGGTTACTGTAGCCCTATAGTATAGTTTGAAGTCAGGTAGCGTGATGCCTCCAGCTTTGTTCTTCGGGCTTAGAATTGACTTGGCAATGTGGGCTCTTTTTTGATTCCATATGAACTTTAAAGTAGTTTTTTCCAATTCTGTGAAGAAAGTCATTGGTAGCTTGATGGGGATGGCATTGAATCTATAAATTACCTTGGGCAGTATGGCATTTTCACGATATTGATTCTTCCTACCCATGAGCATGGAATGTTCTTCCATTTGTTTGTATCCTCTTTTATTTCCTTGAGCAGTGGTTTGTAGTTCTCCTTGAAGAGGTCCTTCACATCCCTTGTAAGTTGGGTTCCTAGGTATTTTATTCTCTTTGAAGCAATTGTGAATGGGAGTTCACTCATGATTTGGCTCTCTGTTTGTCTGTTATTGTTGTATAAGAATGCTTGTGATTTTTGCACATTGATTTTGTATCCTGAGACTTTGCTGAAGTTGCTTATCAGCTTAAGGAGATTTTGGGCTGAGATGATGGGGTTTTCTAAATATGCAATCATGTCATCTGCAAACAGGGACAATTTGACTTCCTCTTTTCCTAATTGAATACCCTTTATTTCCTTCTCCTGCCTGATTGCCCTGGCCAGAACTTCCAACACTATGTTGAATAGGAGTGGTGAGAAAGGGCATCCCTGTCTTGTGCCAGTTTTCAAAGGGAATGCTTCCAGTTTTTGCCCATTCAGTATGATATTGGCTGTGGGTTTGTCATAGATATGTCCCATCAATACCTAATTTATTGAGAGTTTTTAGCATGAAGGTTGTTGAATTTTGTCAAAGGCCTTTTCTGTATCTATTGAGATAATCATGTGGTTTTTGTCTTTGGTTCTGTTTATATGCTGGATTGCGTTTATTGATTTGCGTATGTTGAACCAGCCTTGCATCCCAGGGATGAAGCCCACTTGATCATGGTGGATAAGCTTTTTGATGTGCTGCTGGATTCGGTTTGCCAGTATTTTATTGAGGATTTTTTCATTGATGTTCATTAGGGATATTGGTCTAAAATTCTCTTTTAGACCAATTTTTGTTGTGTCTCTGCCAGGCTTTGGTGTCAGGATGATTCTGGCTTCATAAAATGAGTTAGGGAGGATTCCCTCTTTTTCTATTGATTGGAATAGTTTCAGAAGGAACGGTACCAGCTCCTCTTTGTACCTCTGGTAGAATTCGGCTGTGAATCCATCTGGTCCTGGACTTTTTTTGGTTGGTAGGCTATTAATTATTGCCTCAATTTCAGAGCCTGTTATTGGTCTATTCAGGGATTCAGCTTCTTCTTGGTTTAGTCCTGGGAGGGTGTATGTGTCCGGGAATTTATGCATTTCTTCTAGATTTTCTAGTTTATTTGCGTAGAGGTGTTTATAGTATTCTCTGATGGTAGTTTGTATTTCTGTGGGATGGGTGGTGATATCCCCTTTGTCATTTTTTATTGTGTCTATTTGATTCTTCTCTCTTTTCTTCTTTATTAGTCTTGCTAGCTTTCTATCAATTTTGTTGATCTTTTCAAAAAACCAGCTCCTGGATTCATTGATTTTTTGAAGGGTTTTTTTTGTGTCTCTATCTCCTTCAGTTCTTCTCTGATCTTAGTTATTTCTTGCCTTCTGCTAGCTTTTGAATGTGTTTGCTTTTGCTTCTCTAGTTCTTTTAATTGTGATGTTAGGATGTCAGTTTTAGATGTTTCCTGCTTTCTCTTGTGGGCATTTAGTGCTGTAAATTTCCCTCTACACACTGCTTTAAATGTGTCCCAGAGATTCCGGTATGTTTTGTCTTTGTTCTCATTGGTTTCAAAGAACATCTTTATTTCTGCCTTCATTTCGTTATGTACCCAGTAGTCATTCAGGAGCAGGTTGTTCAGTTTCATGTAGTTGAGTGGTTTTGAGTGAATTTCTTAATCCTGAGTTCTAGTTTGATTGCACTGTGGTCTGAGAGACAGTTTGTTATAATTTCTGTTCTTTTACATTTGCTGAGGAGTGCTTTTCTTCCAACTATGTGGTCAATTTTGTAAGAGGTGTGGTGCTGAGAAGAATGTATATTCTGTTGATTTGGGGTGGCGAGTTCTGTAGATGTCTATTAGGTCCGCTTGGTGCAGATCTGAGTTCAATTCCTGGATATCCTTGTTAACTTTCTGTGTCGTTGATCTGTCTAATGTTGACAGTGGGGTGTTAAAGTCTCCCATTATTATTGTGTGGGAGTCTAAGTCTCTTTGTAGGTCTCCAAGGACTTGCTTTATGAATATGGGTGCTCCTGTATTGGGTGCATATATATTTAAGATAGTTAGCTCTTCTTGTTGAATTGATCCCTTTACCATGATTTAATGGCCTTCTTTGTCTCTTTTGATCTTTGTTGTTTTAAAGTCTGTTTTATCAGAGACTAGGATTGCAACCCCTGTGTTTTTTTGTTTTCCATTTTCTTGGTAGATCTTCCTCCATCCCTTTATTTTGAGCCTATGTGTGTCTCTGCACATGAGGTGGGTTTCCTGAATACAGCACACTGATGGGTCTTGACTCTTTATCCGATTTGCCGGTCTGTGTCTTTTAATTGGAGCATTTAGCCCATTTATATTTAAGGTTAATATTGTTATATGTGAATTTGATCCTGTCATTATGATGTTAGCTGGTTATTTTGCTCATTAGTTGATGCAGTTTCTTCCTAGAATTGATGGTCTTTACAATTTGGCATGTTTTTGCAGTGGCTGGTACTAGTTGTTCCTTTCCATGTTTAGTGCTTCCTTCAGGAGCTCTTGTAGGGCAGGCCTGGTGGTGACAAAATCTCTCAGCATTTGCTTGTCTGTAAAGGATTTTTTTCTCTCCTTCACTTATGAAGCTTAGTTTGGCTGGATACGAAATTCTGGGTTGAAAATTCTTTTGTTTAAGAATGTTGAATATTGGCCCCCATTCTCTTCTGGCTTGTAGAGTTTCTGCCGAGAGATCAGCTGTTAGTCTGATGGGCTTCCCTTTGTAGGTAACTCAACCTTTCTCTCTGGCTGCCCTTAACATTTTTTCCTTCATTTAAATTTTGGTGAATCTGACAATTATGTGTCTTGGAGTTGCTCTTCTTGAGGAGTATCTTTGTGGCATTGTCTGTATTTCCTGAATTTGAATGTTGGCCTGCCTTGCTAGATTGGGGAAGTTCTCCTGGATAATATCCCGCAGAGTGGTTTCCAAGTTGGTTCCATTCTCCCCGTCACTTTCAGGTACACCAATCAGATGTAGATTTGGTCTTTTCACATAGTCCCATATTTCTTGGAGGCTTTGTTCATTTCTTTTCATTCTTTTTTCTCTAAACTTCTCTTCTCACTTCATTCATTTGATCTTCCATCACTTATACCCTTTCTTCCCGTTGATGAAATTGGCTACTGAGGCTTGTGCATTCATTACGTAGATCTCATGCCATGGTTTTCAGCTCCATCAGGTCCTTTGAGGACTTCTCTGCATTGGTTATTCTAGTTAGCCATTCGTCTAATCTTTTTTCAAGGTTTCTTACTTCTTCGCCATGGGTTCAAACTTCCTCCTTTAGCTTGGAGAAGTTTGGTTGTTTGAAGCCTTCTTCTCTCAAGTCATCAAAGTCATTCTCTGTCCTGCTTTGTTCTGTTGCTGGTGAGGAGCTGCGTTCCTTTGGAGGAGGAGAGGCGCTCTGATTTTTAGAATTTTCAGTTTTTCTGCTCTGTTTTTTCCCCATCTTTGTGGTTTTATCTACCTTTGGTCTTTGATGATGGTGACGTACAGATGGGGTTTTGGTGTGGATGTCCTTTCTGTTTGTTAGTTTTCCATCTAACAGTCAGGACCCTCAGCTGCAGGTCTGTTGGAGTTTGCCAGAGGTCCACTCCAGACCCTGTTTGCCTGGGTATCAGCAGCGAAGGCTGCAGAACAGTGAATGTTGGTGAACAGCAAATGTGGCTGCCTGATCATTCCTCTGGAAGTTTTGTCTCAGAGGAGTACCCGGCCGTGTGAGGTGTCAGTCTGCCCCTACTGGCGGGTGCCTCCCAGTTGGGCTACTCAGGGATCAGAGACCCACCTGAGGAGGCAGTCTGTCCGTTGTCAGACCTTAAGCTGCGTGCTGGGAGAACCACTACTCTCTTCAAAGCTGTCAGACAGGGACATTTAAGTCTGCAGAGGTTTCTACTGCCTTTTGTTTGGTTATGCCCTGCCCCCAGAGGTGGAGTCTACAGAGGCAGGCAGGCCTCCTTGAGCTGTGGTGGGCTCCACCCAGTTCGAGCTTCCCGGTTGCTTTGTTTACCTACTCAAGCCTCAGCAATGGCCCGATTTTTCCAGGTGCCGTCCGTCACCCTTTTCTTTGGCTAGGAAGGGGAATTCCCTGACCCCTTGTTCTTCCCAGGTGAGGCGATGCCTCACCCTGCTTCGGCTCATGCTCAGTGCACTGCACCCACTGTCCTGCATCCACTATCTGGCACTCCCCCATGAGAATAACCCGGTACCTCAGTTGGAAATGCAGAAATCATTCATCTTCTGCGTGGCTCATGCTGAGAGCTGTAGACTGGAAATGTTCCTAATCGGCCATCTTGAGATCTGGTTGTTTAAGAGTGTGTGGCACCTCCCTCTGTCTCTCTCTTACTCCTGCTCTGGCCATGTGATTTGCCTGCTCTCCCTTCACTTTCTGTCATAATTGTAAGTTTCCTGAGGCCTCCCTAGAAGCTGAGCAGATGGCAGCATTGTGATTCCTGCACAGCCTGCAGAACTGTGAACCAATTAAACCTCTTTTCTTTGATATTTACCCAGTCTCATGTATTTCTTTATAGCAGTGTGAGAATGGATTAATACATACAGTACGCAGACTTTTGGTTCTGGCTTCTTACACTATTGCATTTATGATTGATACATGTTGTTCTGTGTATAACCAGTTTATTCATTGTTATTGCTAAGTAGTATCCCATTGTATAAATGAACTATATTTATTCCCTAGATGAGGTACATTTGATTTGGGTTTTGTATAAATCTGATCATATTTGGACAATTACAAAAAAAGCTGCTGTAAACATTTACGTACACGTTTTCATATGAACATTTGATTCATTTCACTCGGGTAAATGCCCAAGAGTGGATTGCTGTGTTGTATGGTAAATGTGTATTTAACTTTATACAAAACCTTACTACCTAGTGCTCAAATCTTAGTTTCTAATACCTCATTCTCCAATAAAAGGAAACAGGGATTTTTGGAGAAATGGCTGATTCTAGGACTAGGGCAGGAAATATATAAAATGAACTTGGAGCATCTTGCAGTATCAAAAATTAAATAAAAACAAAAAAGCCCATTGATGGGGACATATCAAAGGGCCACAAGGGCCACTGAAAGACTTCCTAATGGCCAAAGCAGGAACAATTTGAGAAACAAAGAAAAGAAAGCGGTATTGGATTGTAACCCGAATTACAAAAGAGCTATCCATGTGTCCATACTGACATAAATACATGATTGAATAAATTAACGAATGGTGAAGAAGAGATGAATCTCCCATGCATAGGAATTCCAAATAAATTATTTAAGTATTTCACCACAAAAAAGGGGGAGCGTAATTCCCCACTCCTTCAGTATAGGTTTAACATAGTGACTTCCTTCTAAAGTGTACAGTATGGAAAGGGGTGGGAAGTGGACAGAAGATTAACTTTAAAGGTGAGAAATCTGACAAACACTACCATAGGCAGGTGATCAAGGTCAACATCAACAGCCAAAAATCATGTTGATTATATGTACTCTTGATATGATGTGATGAAAATGGCACTTTTACCTCTTTGATCTTCCCTGCAAAAACCCATAACCAAATCATCTCCAACAAAGAGGCAAACTGCAATAGAGAGATATCCTACAAAATATCTAATCTGTACTCATCAAAGCTGTCAAGCATCAGAAACAAGGGAAGCCTGAGAAACTGACCTAGCCAAGACGAGCTTAAGGAGACATGATGGCTTTACATTACGTGGTATCCTAGATGGGATCTTGAGACAGAAAAGATCAGTAGGTACAAAATAAGCAAATCTGAATAAGCTATAGACTTTAGTTGATAATAACCTGTCAGTGTTGGTTGATTAATTGTAGCAACTGTACCTTACTAATGTAATATATTAATAATAGGGGAAATTAACTGCAGGGATAGATAGAACTCTCTACTATCTGCTCGGTTTCCCTGTAAACCTAAAACCATTCTAAAAAATAAAATTTATCAGTTAAAAAATCCTGAAAAACTGCTTTCCAAAATGGTTATATCATTTTGCATCCCCTCCAACAATGTATGAATGTTTTGTTTGCTCTATATCCTCAGTAGCACTTGATATGGTAAGTTTATTTTATTTTATTTTTATTAGTAATTGTATATAATTAATACTATATCTTCTCAGTAAAGTTTCTGCTCATCTTTTGCTCATTACTGGTTTTCTAATTGGGTTGCTGGTTTTCTTGAAGTTCGACAGAATTTGGAAAATATATTTTGAATATATATTTGTTTTATATACAGCTTGAAACTTTTTCTCACAATCGGTGGTTTACTTTTTCATTCTCTTAACAGTCTTTTGAAGAGTATAAATTCTTAATTTTTATGAAGTCTAATTTATCAATTTTTCTTTTATGGATTGTGCTTTCGATGGTGTATCTAAGGACTCTTTACCTAATCCAAAGTCAAAAAGATTTTCTCCTAGAAGTTTTATAATTTAGGTTTTACATTTAGGTATATGATTCATATTGAGTTAATTTTTGTATAGGTTTTGTAAGGTAGAAAGAGAGGATACACACACACACACACATATACATATATATGAGACACTTAATGCCAGCCTGTGAAAGCAGCCAGGGTGCAGGGGGTGGAGGCTGGGGGCTGTACTCTGCAAAGCCACAGAGGCATAGCTGCCCAAAACTGTGGGAGCCCATCTCTTGTATCAGTGTGACCCAGATGTGAGACATGGAGTCAAAGGAGATCATTTTGGAGTTTTAAGATTTAATGACTGCCCTTACTGGATACATATACACATATATGTATGTCCTCTATCCCTACCTCATATATATGTGTATATATATATGTGCATATATATATGTCCTTTATTCCTACCTCAAAAAACCTATACAAAAATTATAATATATGAATATATAATTACTTATATATAATATATAAATATATATATCCTCTATTACTACCTGTCAAAGTCATCAGAAACTATATATATATATATATATATATATATATATATATATATATATATATATATTTGCAAGTGGGTATCTAATTGTTCCAGTGGTGTTTGGTGAAAATACAATCCTTTCTCCATTGAATAACCTTTTACGCCTTTGTCAAAAATCAGTTGATCATATATGTGCAGGTTTATGCGGGACTGACTATTCTGTTCTGTTTACCTATATGTCCATCTTTGTGCAGGTACCTCACTATTTTGATTACTGTGCTTTATAGTAATTCTGGAAACCAGGTATGGTGAGAACTCCAACTTAGTTCTTTATTGTTTTTTAAAGTGTTTTGATTATTTTAGTTGCCTCATCTTTCCATACAAATTTTAGAATCAGCATGTCCATGAAATCCTGCTGGGATTTTGATTGACATTCCACTGAATCTAGAGATTGATTTTGGGGAGTTGACATCTTAATAATATTGACTCTTTCAATGTATGTGCATGGTATATCACTCTATTTAATTAGATTCACTTGGTTTCATTCATGCTTTGTAGTTTTCAGCCTGTATATCTTGCAATATTCTGTTAGATTTGTAACTAAACATTTTATGCTTTTAGTAGTAATGTAAATGAAACTTTCAAAAACAACACAATTTCTAATTTTCATTGCAGTGTGTAGGGATACAACTGATTTTATATATTACTTTATATCCCATGGCCTTACTAATTGTAGTAGCTTTCTTTGTGTGTGGGTTTGTAGGGGTTTCTTTGTTGTCTGTGATTAAAACAGTTTTATTTGTTCTTGTCCAAACATTTTTTTTTCTGCTATTGCCTTGTTATACTACTACAACCTTGAAGATGGTGATGAATAGGATTCATGAGAGCATATATCCTGGTCTTGTTCCCAATCTTAGCAGCAAGATTCAGTTTTTCAAAATTAAGTGTGATGTTAGCGTATGTTTTATGTGGATGCCTGATACGGTTTGGCTGTGTATCCCCACCCAAATCTCATCCTGAATTGTAATTCCCACCTGTTGAGGAAGGGACCTGTAATAGCCACATGTCAAGGGAAGGAGGTGATTGGATCATGGGGGTGGTTCCCCCATGCTGTTCCCATGATAGTGACTGAATTATCACAAGATCTGATGGTTTTATAAGTGTTCACATGCTTTCTCATGCCTGCTTCCCCTTCCTCCATGATTGCATGTTTCCTAAGGCCTCCCCAGCCATGTGGAACTCCTGACCATGTGGTAGAAAAGAGAAAAACCATTTTCTGGGGAGAAATTCAAGCTGGCTGCATAAATTTGCATAAGTAATAAGGAGCCGAATGTTAATAGCCAAGACAATGGGGAAATGTCTTCAGGGCATGTCAGAGATCTTCATAGCAGCCACTCCCATTACAGGCCCAGGGGCCTAGGAGGAAAAATGGTTTCCTGGGCCAGGCTCAGGGCTCCCCTGCTCTGTTCAGCCTTGGGACTTGGTGCCGTGTCCTAGCTGCTCTAGCTCCAGCCATGGCTAAAAGGGGCCAAGGTACAGCATGGGCCATTGCTTCAGAGAGTGGAAGCCCCAAGCCTTGGCAGCTTCCATGTGGTGTTGGGCCTGTGGGTGCACAGAAGTCAAGAATTGAGGTGTGGGAACCTTTCTCTAGATTTCAGAGGATGTATGGAAATGCCTAGCTGTCCAGGCAGATGTCTACTGCAGGGGTGAAACCCTCATGGAGAAACTCTGCTAGGGCAGTGCAAAGGGGAAATGTGGGGTTGAAGCTCCCATACAGAGTCCCCACTGGGGCACTGCCTAGTAAATCAGTGAGACAAGGGCCACAATCCTCCAGTGCCCAGAATGGCAGATCCACCAACAGCTTGCACAATGTGCCTGGAAAAGCTGCAGACACTTAATGCCAGCCCATGAAAGCAGCCAGGGAGAGGGTGTTAGGGGGGCTGTACCCTGCAAAGCCACAGGAGTGGAGCTGCCTGAGATCATGGGAGCCCACCTCTTGCATAAGCATGACACAGATATGAGACATAGAGTCAAAAGAGATCATTTCAGAACTTTAAGATTTAATGACTGCCACCACTGGATCTTGAACTTGCATAGCACCTGTAGCTCCTTTGTTTTGGCTAATGTCTCCCATTTGGAATGGGAACATATATCCAATGCCTGTACCCCCATTGTGTCTTGGAAGTAACTAACTTCCTTTTGATTTTACAGGCTTTAGACAGAAAGGACTTGCCTTGACTCAGATGAGACTTTGGAGTTGGACTTTTGACTTTGGGGGACTGTTGGAAAGGCATGATTTGTTTTGAAATGTAAAAAAGACATGAGATTTGGGAGGGGCCAGGGGCAGAATGATATGATTTAGCTCTGTGTCCCCACCCAAATCTCATCTTGAATTGTAATTCTCATGGGTTGAGGCAGGGACCTGTAATCCCCACCTGTCTAGGGAGGAAGGTGATTGGATCATGGGAGTAGTTTCCCTCATGCTGTTCTCATGATAGTGAGTGAGTTCTCACAAGATCTGATGGTTTTAAAAAGTGGCAATGTTTTCCTGTGCTCTCACTTCACTCTCTCCTGCCGCCCTGTGAAGAAGGTTCCTGCTTCCCCTTCTGCCATGATTGGAAGTATTCTGAGGCCTCCCCAGCCATGCATAACTGAGTCAATTAAACCTCTTTTGTTTATAAATTACCAAGTCTCAGGTAGTATCTTCATAACAGTATGAAAATGGACTAATACAATGCCTTTTATCAGATTGAAGTTCCTTTCTATTCCTAATTTCCTGAGAATTTTTATTATGAATGAATATTGAATTTAGTCAAAGGCTTTTTCTGCATCTATTGAGATGATGATATGCTTTTCCCTCTTTAATCTATTCCTATGGTGAATTATATTGATTGGTTTTTGAAAGTTGAGTCAGTTGAATACCTGGCATGTATCCTACTTGATTATGACATATTATCCTTTTTGTATATATTAGTTTCAATTTGCTAAAGTTTGTGGAGGATATTTGTGTCTATGTTTCTGTGGGATATTTTTCTGTAGTCCTGTTTTCTTGTAATGTCTTTGTATGGTTTTGGTATCAGGTTAATGCTTGCCTCATAGTGATAGAGGCAGGAGGCAGAGAACTCTCCTAGACAGATAGGGGAGGGTCCCTGGAGAATCTCCAATCTACCTCACAAGTGCTTACACCAGATGATTTTGTGTAGAACTTGCACAGGGGGCTTACCTGAATGTGCCTGCAGCAGACTAAGGGCCCACATGTGCACTGTGGGGAGGGAGTGGAGCCACCAGGAATTTGTGCCTTATACAAATAGGGAACCCAGCCCCATCAACCTTTATATAACAGCCCTTGAATTTAGCTGTGAAGGGGGCAACTGGGAACCTGCTTTCAGGACCCTGCTCTTTGCTGAGAGCTTTCCTTTTGCTTAATAAATTCTACTCCACTCACCCTTCAATGTCTGCATGCTTAATTTTTGCTGGTTGTGAGACAAGAACCTGATCTAGCTGAGCTAAGGAGTAAAAAAATCCTGCATCATTTTGGTGGCCCATATGGGCACCTGAAGAAGGGTGAGTAAAATGCAGACCCCCAAAACCTCTTTTACTTTCATTTCACAGCCTTCTTGTCCTCAGACTTTTTCTGAAGGTAGAGGAAAAACTGAACCTCTGATTAGCCAATTAAGAATGAATGGTGGCACAGCTACAGAGGAGGCTCCTCTCCACACCTATTGCTCTCAGGAGTTGGGAATGTCGACTTTGTTCCAGTCTAGTCTTTTCTGTGGCATATTTCTTCTTCTTTTGGGATGGTCATGGCACCTATCTCCTCTTTTACAATGTTAGGAAGGCTGATGCAAACTGTTACTGGGTAGAATGAGCCCTTGCCCCAGCCATCAGATGTGCAATTTAGAATAATGTAATTTCCATCTGTTGTTAGAAGCATGTCCCCTACTCCCACTTCAGTGGCCACAGGTTGGTTCAGGGGATGGACGGGTGAGCAGCAGCTGCCTGCCTCTATCCCCTCCCGGCTAGGGTGCATGGCCATATGTCTGCCACATGTGTGTGCTACATGCAATGGCCACGTGGGGTGGGAATGAGCCATGACCACTGCCCAGGCCCAGGCCTCAGGGCAGTCTCAGGGACCAAGGGCCCCACATGGCCAGCTAGCCAGCATTTCCCGCTCACTGTCCCCTCCTGTCACGTGCCCATTGGAGTGTTTCCTCCCTCCTGGCTTGGCCAAGCCAGGAGGGAGGAAACAGCAATTAAAAGGTTCTCTCCCAGTTGGAGGAACCCATTTGCATAAGAAGTTTTTTCCCTAGGCATCTTCCCCACCCACGCGCTTAAGCTGGTTTTTTTTTTTTTTTTCCTAGTCTCTATCCTGTCAAGTGTTAACTTCTATGAGAGACTTTTTTTTTTTTTCACTTTTGAAAGGCATTAGGCCAGGACCCCAATTCACAAGACATCTTTTCACTCCCTTGTTCAAGGAGGACCCAGCTCCACAGCTTCACCTTAGCATGACTAATTCCTGTGGATTCGTCCATTTCCTGTTTCATGGATAGAGGTCATGCTAGCATCCATGGGATAGACAAGGTCTGGGGAACTCAAAGTTTACTAACAACAGGGGGACAAGCTACGCAAGGGTAAGGGTGGGTAATTCCCATCCCTGAGGCCCCCTGTTAACATGGGTGAAAGTTGCATTGACACCCAGAGGTGGCACCCTGTCAAGGTTGCCAGAACTTAGGCATGTAAGGATGGAAGAAGGAGAGAGGGATGCCTCTTCTTTCTCTCCCTTACATACCCCAGGTATTTACTAGGAAGGAAAAGGAACTACAGATGCCTGTTCCCCTCTTTCTAGATGGGTAAACAATCATGTTCAATCTCTGCTTCTCTTGAATGCCTCCTGAATCACTGGGACGCCTTTGAAAAAAATGCCCTCTTTTTCCTTTTTCCTCCTCTGTCCTCACACCACAGAATATGTGGTGGTGTTCTCATACCACAGGATACTCCCCTCGGATGCATTCCCCAAACTGGAGCAAGTTGACTTCCCCAAACCTTAAACTGCTAGGCTTAAAATTGAGCTTCGTGGAAGGGAACCCAGAAGCCTGACATGCAAGCCAAAGGGTAAAAGTTTTTACCAGTCAGACTTCTGGCCTCCCTCTCCCTGTGCAAACTGGTTGAATGAATGATAAAATCACTGTTTATATCCTCTGTAAGGTGTTCATTAATGGAAAAAGGACTTGTGAGGCTAGTCTTAAGGTGTACCCAATCTGGTGTGCTTTGGGTCTTTGTGTATGATTTTGTCATAAAGCATACATTAGGATAGAATGCAGACCTAGGACTCTATAAGCCCAGTGTTCAAAGCCAGCCCAGCAAACTGGTCAGTAACAAACTTTGTTGCAGGTCTCCATCTTGTTTTATGTCTTTGGGAGTGTGACCTGTAACCACGTGGCAACCTATAACCACCACTTGGTTTTGGTCTCTGCTATTTAACAATGGTGGCCTGGTTTCAATCTTGGCATAGAGAACGAGTACTTTCTGGTTAATATCTGTGTGACTTTTACCATTTGCTGATTCTCTTTCACTCCATGAACAACTTCTAGCTTCCTTTATTAAATATTCCTTTCTCTGAACCACCTTTAAAGATTCTAGATTTTGTAAAAACTGCTTACCACCTCTTTGAAAATACCTCGTATACTTGCAGTTAAGCCGTAACTTTAGTTGAGGCTTCTTGTGAGGTTACTTTGGTAAAGTTCAAAGGCCAGAAATATTGGCCACTTGGCATGGCTAAAGTCAAGTAATAAGGGATTTGAAAAGATTTTCTTAAAGAGCACTTAGCTTAATTAAAAGTGGATAGCTAAGCTATAGGTATTTTAAAAAGGCCTTTACGTTTTTCTCTCCTTGGATCTTGTTTTTCTGGAAAAAGAAAGAACTTTTCGTGTTTTTTTCTCAGCCAACTGAATTATTTTTCTCCGTTTTGTCTTGCCACTCTTAGTGCATGCATGAGAGGCCCTAAGATAACTTCTGATAGCCTGAGACTTCTGGGAAAAAGCAGAGAAGGAGCCACAAACCCCATTTTGGTAAAAAACCCTCTGTTTTCCTCAAGGAACCCCAGGAATTAAAAGTGGATAGATCCCTCTCAGAATCTGTTTCTGTCTTCCAGCTGTTTCTGCTTATTAGGCTCTGTTAGACCACATACTTTCCTAGCCCTGTTTCTTGGAAGGCTCCACCCTGATGCCAATAATCCAATTAGGAGATTGGCAAATGAAAAATCTTACAACTATGGGGTCTTCTTCTGTCTGTCTGTGTAATCATCATATATGTATTATGTGTGGATGGTTGTATAAAAAAGAGCTCTAATTGATTGGCCTGAAGAAAAATAAGTGCTTAGATCAAATTTTTTTGAAGGAAAAATAAAAGGTTCCACCCTAATCCAATTAGGAGATTGGCAAATGAAAAGTCTCACAACTACGGGGTCTTCTCTGTTTGTCTGTGTAATCATCATGTATGTATTATGTGCAGATGGTTATAAAAAATAACTCTAATTGATTGGCCTGAAGAAAAATAAGTGCTTAGATAAAAATTTTTTTGAATGAAAAATAAAAGCTGTAATGCCTTTTAGTTAAATGTGACTTTAAGGAATAAAAACAGTTTTGAAGATAGTTGGTAAAATACAAATGTCTTCAAAATGTAAATATGTGGTCTAAATTATGTGGGTCAGATACTAGGTTTGCTAAATGTTTTAAGGTTATAAACTACTTCTTTGGCTTTTGAGAACTGTTTGACTTGCCTGCTTCACAACTGGTAAAGCCTGGGGACATATGGAATTAACCACACCCTTAACTATGCTCGAAAGAGTCACACCTTATCTGTGCATAGTACATAATTAAAATATAACTTACCAGGTTTTACACTAAAATTAAAAATTGCTAAGAGTTGCCATTATACATGTAATTGAGACTACTGGAAATAGATTTTATATGCAAAATGTGTAAGGAAAGTAAAATGCATTTTTAGTAAAAGATTATTAGAAAGCATGGGAATGTAAATTTCTCCCAATGATTAAAGGATTGTTTTGAATTAGATACGATAAAGCTAGAGGTTTAAACAAATGGTGGAAGGTTTGTAAAAATAATCTTGTAAAAGAAACTCTGTGTGTGAACATATTAACCGAAATTTATAAAGGGTTATAAAAGGTTTAATAAAAATCTTACCTCATGGTCAAATGATTAAGATTGGATAGAATTATCTATAATGTTTCATTAAAAAAATTGGGGTTGACCCCATCAAAAAGTGGGCAAAAGATATGAACAGACACTTCTCAAAAGAAGACATTTACATGGCCAATGAACATATGAAAAAAAGCTCAATGTCACTGATCATTAGAGAAATGCAAATCAAAAGTACAATGAGACACCATCTGATGCCAGTCAGAATAGCAATTATTAAAAAGTAAAGAAACAGTAGATGTTGGTGAGGTTGTGGAAAAATAGGAATGCTTTTACACTGTTGGTGGGAATGTAAATTAGTTCAACCATTGTGGAAAATGGTATGGTGATTCCTCAAGGATCTAGAAGCAGAAATACCATGTGACCCAGCAATCTCATTACTGGGTATATACTCAAAGAAATATAAATCATTTTACTATAAAGATACATACACACATATGTTTACTGCAGCGCTGTTTCCAATAGCAAAGACATGGCCAACCCAAATGCCCATCAACAACAGACTGGATACAGAAAATGTGGCACATATACACCATGGAATACTATGCAGCCATAAAAAGGAATGAGATCATGTCCTTTGCAGGGACATGGATGAAGCTGGAAGCTGTCATCCTTAGCAAACTAACACAGCAACAGAAAACCAAATACCACATGTTCTCACTAATAAGTGGGAGTTGAACAATGAGAACACATGGACACAGGGAGGAGAACATCACACACTGGGGCCTGTTGGGGGGTGGAGGTGAGGGGAGGGAACTTAGAGGACAGGTCAATAGGTGTAGCAGACCACCATGGCACATGTATATCTATGTAACAAACCTGAACATTCTACACATATATCTTGGAACTTAAAGTAAAATTTTAAAAAATAAAAATAAAAATAAATAAAAAAATTATTGATCCATAAAAAAATTGAGGTTGACATTAATAGACTAATACAAGCATAAAATCTGGCTTTTTCTCCCTGGAACAATATTTTCATGTAATAGTAAACAATAATGAAAGGTTTTTGCCTTTTAAAAAATTTTTGAGTCACTATTTTGGCTAAAATAAATTATGGTAATTTGGAATTTTATTTCATAATATCAAGTGCTTTGAACCTCTAACATATTTAATAGGCTTCCCCAAATCAAACTTCAGCTTCAAAAATTGTCTTTTCTGACCCTCACCTTGTGGATGCTACAGAGGGCCCCTGGAATATTCAAAAAGAGAGGTAAACAGAATTATTTGATGTGTTTAGTTATGTGGGATTGTCAAAGTGACATTCAATCTCTTTAGGTTATATTTTAGTAAATAATATTATGTCCCAAAATTCTATGGGATGTCTAAAATTCTAATGTCTGAGTATATGCTATCAATCATAATTAAGGTTATTATGTTAAACTATTGTAAACCACAGAAATAAGCAAATTTCATTGTCAATTGTGTTTTGACTGTAACTACCCTGGATATTTTGTCCTTCACAGACAATTGTTGTCTTGCTTTGACCCTTTTTCAAAAGATGGTTTATAATCAGCTATAGGACTTTGACATGTGCTCTCAATGCAGGTTTCTGATAACTTTGGAGATTTTGACACTGGAATAAAGGAAAAACATATAAGACTCATGAAGAACTGAAATGTTCATGAATATTAAGCAGAACAACAGTTAACAGAATGGACTGAACTGACAGAAAACTGAAGTAATCTTTTTAACCTTTTTGCCTAAAGTGTTGCTGATCCTTGTTTTGTTTTTCAGAGTCAAGGAAAACAGTCTTTAACAATTGATTAAGATATACTCCTGTGAATAAAATTTGGAACGTATTTGTTTTTCTCTGCCTGGCTTCTCCAGAATTTGGAAATCATTTGCTTGTGAATATTCTTAACTTATGGCAATAGAGTTATTTTCATCAGTGCAATAAGAATCCATTTTCTGTTGCAACAGGACACAATTGGAGAAACTGATTATTTCACTCGGGCTTTGAATGGAAGGTTGTGCTTCCCTTTAAGGAATCAAGCTTGACCTGCAGAGCCAATAAGAGCCCTTTGGGAAAACTGGCCTCATACCTTGTCTACACAGTCCCTGCACAGGGTTCCTAACCTGTCATGAATAAAAAATGTCACTAACAGGCCCAGGAGCCCCATATTCTTGGGACCTCAAGAAGAGAGGAATTTACACAACTCATAGGTATTTGAGGGTACAAACCCCTGGCTGGGCTCAGCTTTAACAGGTCTTATCTGGGATTCCTTGTGGAACAGAGTTCCATCAAAGCCAACTGAAAAGCCAATGTGAAAAATAATTCTTGCTGCACTTTATGCAAATAATCAAACCAAGAGACTAAAGTTTATTTTGCAAACAACTCAGTCCTATCATAATTTGTTTTTGACAAAAATGAGGACTGGAGAGAGAAAAATTATGTTTCAAAACTTATCATACATTTGTCATTAAATTCTAATCTCATTCATTGTTTTTAAGTTTTTGCCTACATTTTAGACTAACCCTGCTTATTCCTGTGAACTTACCAGTGATCTCTGGCTGCATCTCAGAAGAAACAAAAGGGTTGAGTATTGTAAAAATCTGGATCAATATTTTAATGCTGAGTAATTATCCTGCAAATCCTGCTGGGTGATGGGAGTAAATAGGGTGCCCATAACCTGGAGGTTTCTTTGTTTGGGAAAATAAGACCAAGGGAGCTAATCAAAGCCAAGCCCCAGGCACCCAAATCTTAGCAGGCATAACTATAGCCACCAGTTATCTGGGTATGTTGGCAGCCTTGGGATTTTTGATCTGTCCTTAGCCCCACTTGTTTTGTTTTGATGCATGTCTTCTAATAACCCAGTTTTTCTTTTCTCACCTTCAGGCTGTCAAACTCCAAACAGTTATGTAACTGGAGCCTCAAATGATGGCTCCTTTTTACCAGGGACCCTTAGATAGGCCTCTGAGGGAGTCCTAATTGCCGTTTTCCCAAAACAGCGCCCCCTGTCAGCAGGAAGTAGTTAAGACTGGCCTTCCTCTCTATTCTAATGGCTGTTAAAGGCACCTCGGGAAATGATAGAGGCAGGAGGCAGAGAACTCTCCCAGGCAGATAAGGGCGGGTCCCCAGAGAATCTCCTGACCAGTCCCACAAGTGCTTACACCAGATGTCTTTTGCAGAAAAGGCAACTTGCACATTGGTCTTGCCTGAATGTGCCCACAGCAGACTAAGGGCCCATGTGCGCCCTGGGGGGAGGGGGTGGAGCCAACAGGAATTTGCACCTTATACAAATAGGGAACCCAGCCCCATCAGCTTTTATATAAAAGCCTTTGTATTCAACTGTGAAGGGGGCAACCAGGAACCTGCTTTCAGGACCCTGCTCTTTGCTGAGAACTTTCCTTTCGCTTCATAAATTCTACTCCACTCACCCTTTTATGTCTGTGTGCCTAATTTTTCCTGGTTGTGAGACAAGAATCCAGATCTAGCTGAGCTAAGGAGTACAAAATCCTGCATCAATTAAATGTGTTCAGAAGTATTGTCTCTTATTGTAATTCTAGGAGAGGTTGTATAGAATTGGAAGTATTTCTTATTTAAATACTTGGCAGAATTTACAAGTAAAGCCCCCTGAGCCAGGAGGCTTTTGTTTATTTGTTTTGTTTTTTTAAATTATAATTTATTTTCTTTAAGAATAAATGCTACAGCAAAAAAAGCTATCATTAGAGTGAACAGGCAACCTACAGAATGGGAGAAATTTTTTGCAATCTATCCATCTGACAAAGGGCTAATATCCAGAATCTACAAGGAACTTAAACAAATTTACAAGAAAAAAACAACCCCATCAAAAATTGGGCAAAGGATATGAACAGACACTTCCTAAAAGAAGACATTTATGTGGCCAACAAACATATTAAAAAAAGCTCATCATCACTGGTCATTAGATAAATGCAAATAAAAAACCACAATGAGATACCATCTCACACCAGTTAGAACAGCAATCATTAAAAAGTCAGGAAACAACAGATGCTGGAGAGGATGTGGAAAAATAGGAACGCTTTTACACTGTTGTTAGGAGTGTAAATTAGTTCAACCATTGTGGAAGACAGTGTGGCAATTCCTCAAGGATCTAGAACTAGAAATACCATTTGACCCAGCAATCCCATTACTGGGTATACACTCACAGGATTATAAATCATTCTACTATAAAGACACGTGCAGGCATATGTTTATTGCAGCACTGTTCACAATAGCAAAGACATGGAACCAACCCAAATGCCCTTCAATGATAGAATAGATGAAGACAACGTGGCACATATACACGTGGTATACTATGCAGCGATAAAAAAGGATGAGTTCATGTCATTTGCAGGGACATGGATGAAGCTGGAAACCATCATTCTCAGCACACTAATACAGGAACAGAAAACCAAACACTGCAGGTTCTCTCTCATAAGTGGGAGTTGAACAATGAGAACACTTGGACACAGGGAGGTGAACATCACACACTGGGGCCTGTTGGGGGATGGGGGGCTAGGGGAGAGATGGCATTAGGAGAAATACCTAATGTAGGTGACAAGTTGATGGGTGCAGCAAACCACCATGGCACATGTATATGTATGTAACAAATCTACCCGTTCTGCACATGTACCCCAGAACTTAAAGTATAATTTAAAAAAAGAATAAGTACTAAATAGACCCTCTCCCTCTTTCTTTCCTTTCTCTCATGAATTTTTGGCAATTTGCGTCTTTTAAGGGATTTGTCTATATCATCAAAAATTTTGAGATTAAGGTATAGAATTGTTTGTAGTATTCTTTTATATTTTAATGGTTTGTACAGTCTGTAATGATGTTTTCTCTTTCATTCCTAAAATTTGAAATTTTTCTTTTTTTTCTCTTTCCCTTGGGCAGTCTGGCTATAGGTCTATCAATTTTGCTGGCTGGCTTTGCCAAACCACCATTTATTGGTTTCACTATTTTTGTCTGTTGTCTCTATTTTCTGCTTCATTTCTCCTATTTATTATTTCCCTTCATCTGCTTGTTTCGGATTTGTCTTGCTTACTTTCCTAGTTTTTTAAGATAAAATTTTAGATTACTAATTTGAAACGCTTTTTCATTTTTAGTATAAGCGTTTATTGTCAAAACTTTCCTCCAAAGCTCTGCTTTTAGTAAGTTCCACACATTTTGATGTGTGGTATCTCCGATGTTACTCTCAAATGGTCATCAGAGCACCTTTAGCCAAACATTAGAATTACCTGTGGTGCTTGAAAAAAAATGCCAATGTTCACCCCTAACCAAGACCACATGTGGTAGAAAATCTGGGATTGGGCCCTGGGAATTCCTTTGTTTTAGAAGCTCCCCAGGTTATTCTAATGTTCATCTAAGGTTGAGAATTCCTGCTTTAATCTCATTAAAAGTGATTCCCAATGCTCATGTGCCAGTGCTTATCTGGATGCGTGTAGAAAATTTAAACTATTGTACCCCCTCCTAGAGCTTTGACTGAGCAGGTGTACAGTGGCCCGTGGAAACCACTATTTAAAGTTTTTAAACCTTAAAGCCACTTTAAAAGTTGGAAATCACTTTTTAAAGTTTTTAAAAAGTAGCCTATGAGATTCTGGTGCATGTGGGTCTCAAACTACACTTTGAGAAAATCTGCATTAAAATTCATAAAATAAAAAGCGAGTTCCTATTGTAGTCCCAGCTGTATGCTTTTCAAAAGGCAAAAAATAGCCTGAGTACTGTTGACACCCTGGGAGAGGGTGCCCTCCTCCCTTTCTGCTGTGCTGGCATAGACCAATTCTAGGATGGCAAGGAGGTCTTCCGTACTGGGAACACCTGAGATGCCTTCATTCTTGCTGCTGCTCCCCTTAACATCATTTTTGCAAGGCCAAGGAGAATTACTTTAATAGATTTCAGGTCTTTGTGCAGTTTGCTTTGTCTGAATGCATCCTTTCCCCTTTGCGCCTAGCTAACTCACTCCTCCCTGCCATATCATCCAGGAAGCTTTCTCTGACCTTCTCCCAGACTGGAAGTCTGCAGACTTCTCTGATCTAGATTAGGTGCACCTCCTTGGGACCTAATATCTTCTCTGCCTATCACTCTCAGGGTTAATCATCTACTTACTCATCTGTATCCCTCACTAAACCCCTTGAGGACAAGTCTAGTATTCTGTGTCTTCAGGGTTTAGCCTTGGGTCTAGAACCTAACAGATCTTCAGTAAATGTGAACCAAGCTGATCTAAAATGAGTGCTTTTCAAATAGAGGACACCCCAACAAGTCCAGCTTCCTACTGGTTTTTGTTTAGGGTGTGGTCAGAGTAGCAACCTCCCATTTGCTCTATATTGAAAATCCTGACCATCAGGAACCTAATCAATGCATGGGTGTAGGAGGTGGAGGAAGCACAGCTGGCTCTCCAGTCTCCAGCCCAGGGTCTGGCACATAGCACTGGCTCAGGAATATTGTTTGATTGAACGACCAGAAGGAAACAAAGTTGGAAAACGCCAAGATATATTCAAAATTAAGATGTGGTGGTCCCACAAAGTCCTGAATCATCGAAGAAAAACTCATTTAACTTATTGTTTATTAGATGCTAATCACACTGAAATATCCAAACTCATTTCCAGGCTTTCTAAGTAGAAGAGACTTAGAGAAGAACTCACTTTTTTTCCCCAGAAAAGAGAATAACTGAGACTATTTCTGCACATTCCAGTTAATGGATTAATGTAATGAATGTTGGTAGGTCAAATAATGCAGCTGTGTAAACATTTGTTTAAGCTGCTGCCAACAAAGAAGTTTAATCTCCCTGAAGGAAACTTCATTTTTAGTCCCTTCGGAAACATCTATTTACAAATAATCAAATTGATATACACAGTATTTCTCAATGTACATCCCAGGGCACTTGTTTATCACAGCATGTTGTATTTTGCTATAGGCATTTATAAATAATAAAATTGCTTTTTAAAAAAATAATAGAAATCCCTTCACATTCTCCATAGTTATTCAAAGCAAAGATAGTTTTTTTATATAGAAATAATTGCATGTGATTTTTCAATTTAAAGAATGAAATTATGTCCTTTTTGGTGTCACATCAGTTAAAGGGTAGGTGATATGACTGTCTTTTTGTGTGCTGCAAGGAGGAGGAATCAGTTAAGCTTTGAAGACTGGGAAAAAAGGAAGAGTTGAGGATGGATGAAGTATATCACTGGAGAGTACTTACTAGAATTCATCGACTCAGACTTCATTCAATAAGAAAATATTTATTGATTACCTACTATGTGTTAGCCGCTGTTTCAGAAGCTTACTGCTGAATGATGATGCAAGAAGATTTTCACGAAAGAGATTGTGGTGAGGTAGAAAGAGCTCTGAACAAAAAATAACTGATTTTAGTTCTATAAATGCCTTGGGTAACTTCTTGTCCTCGCTGGTCTCTATCCTGTATGTATGTAAAAAGAGGGTGGTGGGATTGAACCGCATGATCTCCAATTCCTATATGTCTCTGCCACCAAAGTACCACCAGATGACTAAAAAAGGAAACTTTGCATAGGCAATTTCAATGTGGGAAGAGTACAATATGTTAAGGTTTAATAGACGAACAGGCCGAGAAAGCTGTGTGGCTGGCATAATAGAGAAGGAGTGTTCATGATTCTTTTTGAAGGGAGCGTGGTAAACTGGGTGGCAGATAAGTGGAAGAGTTCTGAGGAAATTGCAGCTGAGAACTGGATCTATTTTTCCATGTCTCCATACTCTCATAGATATGGGCTCTAGTAAAATTGAAGCCAGGCTCAATGTTAGCAGCATGGTGTACCAGAAAAAAAATGTTTTATGATAGTCCTGGGTTGGATATTTTTCTGTCCAACTCGATTATTAGCTCCCTGTGGTCTCCCTTTCTTATTTCCTATCTGGATGGTGTTGGAAAGTGTCTAATCCTTTTAGATTAAGGTTGATGCATACATTATATGAGTTAATATATATGACACTTAATATATGATACTGAGTAAATTCTTGAACGTCAATTTGTTTTCTTGCTAGTATAAAAGTACAATGATCTGGGATCTTCTATTAGCCAAATTGTGAATATTTGCTTAACTAAAGAATTATTCTCTCATAAAGATAATGATGACTCTTATGTTTGCCACCTTGGACTGGAGTATATGTTTTCTTTGACAAGTATTTCACAAGTATAGGCTTCTAAGTGTCATTTCCCTATGCCCCATTACCCCTTTTGCCAATGCATTATCCACCTGCTGTTGGAGTTTTCTTTCTAAAGCACAGTTCTGATCATGCTACTCCTCTGCTCAAAATTCTACATTGGCTCCCTGTTGCTTACACAACAAAATTCCACCCCTGTGCTTGCATTCTAAGCTCACCATGATTCAGATTCACCATGTCTTTCCAGCCTCATCTCACATCATATCACTGCATGCACATTACCCTCTATTTCAGGGGTTCTCAAATCTAAGTGTGCTTCAGAGTCACCTGGATGTCTTGTTGAAACACATGTTTCTGGGCGTTATGCCCAGCATTTCTGATTCTGTGAGTCTAAGAGGGAGCCTTGAAATTTTGCATTTCTAATAAGTTCCCAGTTGACACTGATGTTGCTTATCTAGGGACTACACTTTTAAGAACCACTGTTGGCCAGGCGCAGTGGCTCACACCTGTAATCCCAGCACTTTGGGAGGTCGAGGCCGGGGGGATCACCTGAGGTCAGAAGTTCGAGACCAGCCTGGCCAACATGGTGAAAAACTGTCTCTACTAAAAATACAAAAAATTAGCTGAATGTTGTGGCGCTCGCCTGTAATCCCAGCTACTCGGGAGGCTGAGTCAGGAGAATTGCTTGAACTGGGGAGGTGGAGGCTGAAGTGAGCCGAGATCATGCCACTGCACTCCAGACTGAGCAACACAGTGAGACTCCATCAAAAAAAAAAAAAAAAAGGGAGAGAGATTGAGAACCATTGCTCTAACAACACCAAATGCTGGTTCTTTTGGAATATATCTAGTGTCTACTTTTTCATCTTAGCATTTTTCTGATGCTCTTTCCTCCTTCCTTGGGCTCCTTCTATTGGTAGAATTCCTCTCATTTTTAAAACTAATTTTACTTTCTTAGGAAGCTCGTACTAATCACTCAGTCAGTATTAAAGAGGGAGCACTGACTCTTGTTTCCCTTCACAACATGCTGCTTGTACTCTGCTTTAGTATTTATACCATTCTGCATTGTACTAGAGCTAATTGTGTTTGTCCTCTTGCTCACATTCAGTTGTCAAGCCCATGAAAGAAGGGACCATATTTCATTAATCTTCGATCTTCAAACGAACTGAATTTCATCATGGTGCCTAAAAGCCAGCCCCAGTAATTACACATCTGTTTTCTTTAAAATGTATCTGATTATTGCAGCCTGCAGAAGACAACAATCTTATGGGTGGCAGCCACCCTGCCTTTTGAGGTAGAAGGATATGCACCATTTAAGTGCCTGAACAAATGGATTCCATCAGCAACCTGATAGAGAAATTTACCAAGGTTAGAAAGAAACCAGCCTGAAATGTTGGGGTGGTAGGTTTCAGAGCTGCCTGTATAATAAAGATGCTGAACCCCATTGCAGTAAGTCAAGCTGTCACAGGGAACACTATCTAAAGCCAACTCCAATCTAATGAGGTGTTTGAATTATTGTTAAAAGGAAGAATGCCAGAAGCTATTTCTTCTCTGTGGATTGTGCTTTCCTATACCAAATGTACAGGAAAGAACCAGGGGAATTAGTAATGAAGCCAGAGTAAATGCACAGTCTGGAGAAAGTTTTGTTCAATCTAAATTTCAGAGAATGTAACATAATCAATTTCCTTAAATACTCTGTCAGTTTCCAAAGAGCACAGAGTGAACCCAATTCTCCCATATGACACCCCGCTCTCTGTTAGTGGGAAAGGTGCTTGTTAGCCTCCCTCCTACTCCAGTTTCTCTGCCCCTGCTTTCCTCTTGAATACCAGGTCCTCTTCCCTTCTTATGCCTCATACTATACTTGGGCATTCCATCTGACCTGACTTCCTCTGTCATCTTTTTGCTGATGACCACGTCTTTCCTTGGGCTCCTTCTATTGGAGGAGGATCCAATAGAAGGTTCCAGCCTAGATCCTCCTCCTGAGCCTCAGATCCCTGGAGCCAATAATTTTCTCTTAATTCTCCTTGGCTGTTCCACAGTCATCTCAGATTCAGTATCTCCCCAAATTAACTCATCATTTTCCTGGTACTTTGGTTATTTGTAGGGTGTCTACCTCAAAGAACAAGGAGTTGGTACAACCATTTTAGAAAGCTGTTCAATCATTTCTACTAAAGCTGAATGAATGCACAGGACATGACCCCAAAATAGCCAACAGAATTGCTTACATATATTCACCAGAAGAGATGTACAAGAATGTTTATACCACACTATTTGTTATACCTCCCAACTGGAAATGATCCAAGGTGTCTCTAGACTGTAGAATGGGTACATCATTGTGGCTTATTCATACAATAAAATGCCATTCATCATTAATAATGAACAAACCATGTGGAACACCATGAGTGAACCCTACAAACATAAGGTTAAAAAAAAGCCAGAAGCCAGATACAGAATATAGACTGAATACTTCCGCTTGTATAAAGTTCAAAAGCAGGCAGAATGAAGCTGTGTTGTGAAAAGTCAGGAGAGAGAATACCCTTGGGGAAGTGTGATGGGAAGGAACCCTGAGAGCTTCGGGGATACTGGTAATGTTCTTTTTCTCAATCTGGATGCTGATTTACGTGATGGTGTTCAGTTTGGGAAAATTCCTTGTATGGCACACTAGAGAGCTGTGGACTTTTCTCAATATATATGTCAATAAAAGTTACAAAGATAAGTAAAGAACATGGATCACTGCTCTCCGTCTCTTTCAGCTGCTGAGAGTTCAGCCTTCAGTCCTGGTTCTGTCATTTTCTTATGCTGGGTAACTTTCCTATGTGGCTATGAGGGCCCTTGGTGGCCCTCATCCCCAGTAGAATGAGAAGACATATGTGTGAGGGCACAGTATGTAAGGTTTAGTCAGAGTGATGTTTCTAACCATCTGGTTAGCTGTTCAGGCCTCCATGGCTTTCTACGCCCAAGGTGGGTCCCCATGAACACTGGCCTCAGTCTAAAACTCAGCCTGAGAAGAGACTGCATGTTGAAACTCTGTAGTATGAGTCACTTGTGGACATAGATTCCCTATGTAGGAAGCTAAACAGGTGTTTGGTGTGTGAATCAATTTTATAGTCTCCAAATAAATGGAATTTAAGAGCTGCTGTTGGCTAGAAACCCAGATTTGTATCGCAAGTGGGATAGAGTCCATTATCAGCTGAGTTGCAGCATTCGTCTTTTAGTTAGCAGATAAACTCTGGAATCTCTGTGGCTAAAAGATAAAACCTGAAATCTCAGAGTATTAACTCAGTAGAAGTTTATTTCTAGCTTTTGTTAAGTCTAACAGCAGCAGTGTTGGGGAGATGGGGCTGGGGAGAGAAGAATCCACACCATGCAGCCGTTCAGGCTTTCAGAAGCTTTGGTGTCTTCAACATGTGGCTTCCAAGGACACTTTGGACACTGACATCCAGCTGGCACAGAGGAAAATAAGAGTGGAGGACTGTGCAGTAAGTTTTCACAGTCAGGCCTGGCAACAGCATCTCTCATGTCTTTCCAGTTTTTATTGGCTAGAATCTGGTCATATCACTGCATCTAACAGCAAGGGAGTCTAGGAAGTATGGCCCAGCTGTGGGCATGGAAGAAAGGAAAACAAATTTGATGACTAGCTAGCCAGTGTCTGCCACATTTAGATTTACCTACAAGCAGAGAAAAACTACATAGTATTGAAGGTGGATGTCGAAAGCAAATGTGATCCTCTGTTGGGTGGAATATATCACAGATGTGGCACTAGGAAGTAAGATTTCCTGCCTGATGAGCTGAGGGGAGACATCCAAAATAAAACTGTGCCCTTATTGCAATTCAGAGATAATTTTTTGTTCTTTTGGTGCTACAAGCTGAAAATGGAACACTGAGAAAATGTGTGAGCATTCCATGGTGAGTAAACAGAAGAGGAAGACTGACTTTCCTAATTAGTGTCCTCCCACTGCAACTTTTTTCTTCTACATTGTCTCACATTCACACAGTCACCTAAGCCTCACATTGAGAGAAGTTCTTCCATCTTCATATTTATCCATATATTTACTATGACCTGCCAAGTTCGTGCCCTACATTGTATTCACTCCATTGCATCAGTGCATTTCTACTGATGCTCTTCCAATTCTGGAAATCTAGTTCTCAAGTGGGCTACTGCCATATGTCTATCAGATCTTCCCACTTACCATCTCTTTCCTTTGATCTAGTCTCCACGCATTGTCAAAATCATCTTAAAGTAACGTTGTTCAAGCATTCCAGTGACTCCCCATTGCCTGTAAAATTAAATATAAACTCCTTTGTTTGACGTATACAGCATTACTCAATCTAGACTCAAAATGCACTGTTCACCTTTATCTCTGGAAATTGAACAACCCTACCAATTCTGTATTCCAGCCTACCCTAACTCCTTGTCATACTCTGTACAATCTCAAGTCCATTTCACAGGCTTCCAAGCATGCCTTTTCTGGGCTTCACCTGGTGAGTCCCTAATCATTAATAAAACCTAACTCAAATGTCACCTCTTTCTTGAGACTTCCAAAGCTCCTTCAGGGAGAGTTAATTCCAGTAAGACTTATCTTGGTTATAGCACTCATCACATTGCATTGTATTTTCTTGTTATCCACCTCTCCTGCTATATTGTCCTGGAAGGCAATGTAGTGTGGGGGAAAAAAGACAGAATTTAGAAGTCAGATTAGACCTAGATTTGATTTCTACCATTTCACATGACTACCTATGTAGCTTTAAGTTACCTAAGCTCTCTAAACTACAGGATCCTCTTCTGTGAAATGGGGATGGTAATATTTCATATGATATGTATACAATGTCTTATACAGGACAAGAAACCACATGCCTAATTTATTTATTATTCCCCAGTATTCTCCTCCTCTTTCTTGTATTTTGTCTTATATAAAAGGCTATCTTTCAGTAAAGGCATACAATAAAGGTTTTCTAAATGAATGAACTAGAAAGTTAGCATCTTGGGACTATCTAGTGCTTACCTCCATCACAGCTCTCCCTTTTTTTTTTTTTTTAATTATACTTTAAGTTTTAGGGTATATGTGCACATTGTGCAGGTTAGTTACATATGTATACATGTGCCATGCTGGTGCGCTGCACCCACTAACTCGTCATCTAGCATTAGGTATATCTCCCAATGCTACCCCTCCCCCCTCCCCCCACCCCACCACAGTCCCCAGAGTGTGATATTCCCCTTCCTGGGTCCATGTGATCTCATTGTTCAGTTCCCACCTATGAGTGAGAATATGCGGTGTTTGGTTTTTTGTTCTTGCGATAGTTTACTGAGAATGATGATTTCCAATTTCATCCATGTCCCTAAAAAGGACATGAACTCATCATTTTTTATGGCTGCATAGTATTCCATGGTGTATATGTGCCACATTTTCTTAATCCAGTCTATCATTGTTGGACATTTGGGTTGGTTCCAAGTCTTTGCTATTGTGAATAATGCCGCAATAAACATACGTGTGCATGTGTCTTTATAGCAGCATGATTTATAGTCCTTTGGGCATATACCCAGTAATGGGATGGCTGGGTCAAATGGTATTTCTAGTTCTAGATCCCTGAGGAATCGCCACACTGACTTCCACAATGGTTGAACTAGTTTACAGTCCCACCAACAGTGTAAAAGTGTTCCTATTTCTCCACATCCTCTCCAGCACCTGTTGTTTCCTGACTTTTTAATGATTGCCATTCTAACTGGTGTGAGATGGTATCTCCTTGTGGTTTTGATTTGCATTTCTCTGATGGCCAGTGATGATGAGCATTTTTTCATGTGTTTTTTGGCTGCATAAATGTCTTCTTTTGAGAAGTGTTTGTTCATGTCCTTCGCCCACTTTTTGATGGGGTTGTTTGTTTTTTTCTTGTAAATCTGTTTGAGTTCATTGTAGATTCTGGATATTAGCCCTTTGTCAGATGAGTAGGTTGCGAAAATTTTCTCCCATTTTGTAGGTTGCCTGTTCACTCTGATGGTAGTTTCTTTTGCTGTGCAGAAGCTCTTTAGTTTAATTAGATCCCATTTGTCAATTTTGGCTTTTGTTGCCATTGCTTTTGGTGTTTTAGACAGGAAGTCCTTGCCCATGCCTATGTCCTGAATGGTAATGCCTAGGTTTTCTTCTAGGGTTTTTATGGTTTTAGGTCTAACATTTAAGTCTTTAATCCATCTTGAATTAATTTTTGTATAAGGTGTAAGGAAGGGATCCTGATGCAGATCAGCTTTCTACATATGGCTAGCCAGTTTTCCCAGCACCATTTATTAAATAGGGAATCCTTTCCCCATTGCTTGTTTTTCTCAGGTTTGTCAAAGATCAGATAGTTGTAGATATGTGGCATTATTTCTGAGGGCTCTGTTCTGTTCCATTGATCTATATCTCTGTTTTGGTACCAGTACCATGCTGTTTTGGTTACTGTAGCCCTATAGTATAGTTTGAAGTCAGGTAGCGTGATGCCTCCAGCTTTGTTCTTCGGGCTTAGAATTGACTTGGCAATGTGGGCTCTTTTTTGATTCCATATGAACTTTAAAGTAGTTTTTTCCAATTCTGTGAAGAAAGTCATTGGTAGCTTGATGGGGATGGCATTGAATCTATAAATTACCTTGGGCAGTATGGCCATTTTCACGATATTGATTCTTCCTACCCATGAGCATGGAATGTTCTTCCATTTGTTTGTATCCTCTTTTATTTCCTTGAGCAGTGGTTTGTAGTTCTCCTTGAAGAGGTCCTTCACATCCCTTGTAAGTTGGGTTCCTAGGTATTTTATTCTCTTTGAAGCAATTGTGAATGGGAGTTCACTCATGATTTGGCTCTCTGTTTGTCTGTTATTGTTGTATAAGAATGCTTGTGATTTTTGCACATTGATTTTGTATCCTGAGACTTTGCTGAAGTTGCTTATCAGCTTAAGGAGATTTTGGGCTGAGATGATGGGGTTTTCTAAATATGCAATCATGTCATCTGCAAACAGGGACAATTTGACTTCCTCTTTTCCTAATTGAATACCCTTTATTTCCTTCTCCTGCCTGATTGCCCTGGCCAGAACTTCCAACACTATGTTGAATAGGAGTGGTGAGAAAGGGCATCCCTGTCTTGTGCCAGTTTTCAAAGGGAATGCTTCCAGTTTTTGCCCATTCAGTATGATATTGGCTGTGGGTTTGTCATAGATATGTCCCATCAATACCTAATTTATTGAGAGTTTTTAGCATGAAGGTTGTTGAATTTTGTCAAAGGCCTTTTCTGTATCTATTGAGATAATCATGTGGTTTTTGTCTTTGGTTCTGTTTATATGCTGGATTGCGTTTATTGATTTGCGTATGTTGAACCAGCCTTGCATCCCAGGGATGAAGCCCACTTGATCATGGTGGATAAGCGTTTTGATGTGCTGCTGGATTCGGTTTGCCAGTATTTTATTGAGGATTTTTTCATTGATGTTCATTAGGGATATTGGTCTAAAATTCTCTTTTAGACCAATTTTTGTTGTGTCTCTGCCAGGCTTTGGTGTCAGGATGATTCTGGCTTCATAAAATGAGTTAGGGAGGATTCCCTCTTTTTCTATTGATTGGAATAGTTTCAGAAGGAATGGTACCAGTTCCTCCTTGTACCTCTGATAGAATTCGGCTGTGAATCCATCTGGTCCTGGACTCTTTTTGGTTGGTAAACTATTGATTATCGCCACAATTTCAGCTCCTGTTATTGGTCTATTCAGAGATTCAACTTCTTCCTGGTTTAGTCTTGGGAGAGTGTATGTGTCGAGGAATTTATCCATTTCTTCTAGATTTTCTAGTTTATTTGCGTAGAGGTGTTTGTAGTATTCTCTGATGGTAGTTTGTATTTCTGTGGGATGGGTGGTGATATCCCCTTTATCATTTTTTATTGTGTCTATTTGATTCTTCTCTCTTTTTTTCTTTATTAGTCTTGCTAGCAGTCTATTTTGTTGATCCTTTCAAAAAACCAGCTCCTGGATTCATTAATTTTTTGAAGGGTTTTTTGTGTCTCTATTTCCTTCAGTTCTGCTCTGATTTTAGTTATTTCTTGCCTTCTGCTAGCTTTTGAATGTGTTTGCTCTTGCTTTTCTAGTTCTTTTAATTGTGATGTTAGGGTGTCAGTTTTGGATCTTTCCTGCTTTCCCTTGTGGGCATTTAGTGCTATAAATTTCCCTCTACACACTGCTTTGAATGCATCCCAGAGATTCTGGTATGTTGTGTCTTTGTTCTCGTTGGTTTCAAAGAACATCTTTATTTCTGCCTTCATTTCGTTATGTACCCAGTAGTCATTCAGGAGCAGTTTCCATGTAGTTGAGCGGTTTTGAGTGAGATTCTTAATCCTGAGTTCTAGTTTGATTGCACTGTGGTCTGAGAGACAGTTTGTTATAATTTCTGTTCTTTTACATTTGCTGAGGAGAGCTTTACTTCCAAGTATGTGGTCAATTTTGGAATAGGTGTGGTGTGGTGCTGAAAAAAATGTATATTCTGTTGATTTGGGGTGGAGAGTTCTGTAGATGTCAATTAGGTCCGCTTGGTGCAGAGCTGAGTTCAATTCCTGGGTATTCTTGTCGACTTTCTGTCTCGTTGATCTGTCTAATGTTGACAGTGGGGTGTTAAAGTCTCCCATTATTAATGTGTGGGAGTCTAAGTCTCTTTGTAGGTCACTCAGGACTTGCTTTATGAATCTGGGTGCTCCTGTATTGGGTGCATATATATTTAGGATAGTTAGCTCTTCTTGTTGAATTGATCCCTTTACCATTATGTAATGGCCTTCTTTGTCTCTTTTGATCTTTGTTGGTTTAAAGTCTGTTTTATCAGAGGCTAGGATTGCAACCCCTGCCTTTTTTTGTTTTCCATTTGCTTGGTAGATCTTCCTCCATCCTTTTATTTTGAGCCTATGTGTGTCTCTGCACGTGAGATGGGTTTCCTGAATACAGCACACTGATGGGTCTTGACTCTTTATCCAATTTGCCAGTCTGTGTCTTTTAATTGGAGCATTTAGTCCATTTACATTTAAAGTTAATATTGTTATGTGTGAATTTGATCCTGTCATTATGATGTTAGCTGGTTATTTTGCTCGTTAGTTGATGCAGTTTTTTCCTAGTCTCGATGGTCTTTACATTTTGGCATGATTTTGCAGCGGCTGGTACCGGTTGTTCCTTTCCATGTTTAGCGCTTCCTTCAGGAGCTCTTTTAGGGCAGGCCTGGTGGTGACAAAATCTCTCAGCATTTGCTTGTCTGTAAAGTATTTTATTTCTCCTTCACTTATGAAGCTTAGTTTGGCTGGATATGAAATTCTGGGTTGAAAATTCTCTTATTTAAGAATGTTGAATATTGGCCCCCACTCTCTTCTGGCTTGTAGGGTTTCTGCCGAGAGATCCGCTGTTTGATGGGCTTCCCTTTGAGGGTAACCCGACCTTTCTCTCTGGCTGCCCTTAACATTTTTTCCTTCATTTCAACTTTGGTGAATCTGACAATTATGTGTCTTGGAGTTGCTCTTCTTGAGGAGTATCTTTGTGGCGTTCTCTGTATTTCCTGAATCTGAACGTTGGGCTGCCTTGCTAGATTGGGGAAGTTCTCCTGGATAATATCCTGCAGAGTGTTTTCCAACTTGGTTCCATTCTCCCCATCACTTTCAGGTACACCAATGAGACGTAGATTTGGTCTTTTCACATAGTCCCATACTTCTTGGAGGCTTTGCTCATTTCTTTTTATTCTTTTTTCTCTAAACTTCCCTTCTCGCTTCATTTCATTCACTTCATCTTCCATTGCTGATACCCTTTCTTCCAGTTGATCGCATCGGCTCCTGAGGCTTCTGCATTCTTCACTTAGTTCTCGAGCCTTGGTTTTCAGCTCCATCAGCTCCTTTAAGCACTTCTCTATATTGGTTATTCTAGTTATACATTCTTCTAAATTTTTTCCAAAGTTTTCAACTTCTTTGCCTTTGATTTGAATGTCGTCCCTTAGCTCAGAGTAATTTGATCGTCTGAAGCCTTCTTCTCTCAGCTCGTCAAAGTCATTCTCCATCCAGCTTTGTTCCGTTGCTGGTGAGGAACTGCGTTCCTTTGGAGGAGGAGAGGCACTCTGCGTTTTAGAGTTTCCAGTTTTTCTGCTCTGTTTTTTCCCCATCTTTGTGGTTTTATCTACTTTTGGTCTTTGATGATGGTGATGTACAGATGGGTTTTTGGTGTGGATGTCCTTTCTGTTTGTTAGTTTTCCTTCTAACAGACAGGACCCTCAGCTGCAGGTCTGTTGGAATACCCTGCCGTGTGAGGTGTCAGTGTGCCCCTGCTGGGGGGTGCCTCCCAGTTAGGCTGCTCGGGGGTCAGGGGTCAGGGACCCACCTGAGGAGGCAGTCTGCCCGTTCTCAGATCTCCAGCTGTGTGCTGGGAGAACCACTGCTCTCTTCAAAGCTGTCAGACAGGGACATTTAAGTCTGCAGAGGTTACTGCTGTCTTTTTGTTGGCCTGTGCCCTGCCCCCAGAGGTGGAGCCTACAGAGGCAGGCAGGCCTCCTTGAGCTGTGGTGGGCTCCACCCAGTTCGAGCTTCCCTGCTGCTTTGTTTACCTAAGCAAGCCCGGGCAATGGCGGGCGCCCCTCCCCCAGCCTCGCTGCCACCTTGCAGTTTGATCTCAGACTGCTGTGCTAGCAATCTGCGAGACTCCGTGGGCGTAGGACCCTCTGAGCCAGGTGCAGGATATAATCTCGTGGTGCGCCGTTTTTTAAGCCGGTCAGAAAAGCGCAATATTCGGGAGGGAGTGACCTGATTTTCCAGGTGCGTCCGTCACCCCTTTCTTTGACTCGGAAAGGGAACTCCCTGACCCCTTGTGCTTCCCAAGTGAGGCAATGCCTCGCCCTGCTTCGGCTCGCGCACAGTGCGCGCACTCACTGACCTGCGCCCACTGTCTGGCACTCCCTAGTGAGATGAACCCGGTACCTCAGATGGAAATGCAGAAATCACCCGTCTTCTGCTTTGCTCACGCTGGGAGCTGTAGACCGGAGCTGTTCCTATTCGGCCATCTTGGCTCCTCCCCCAGCTCTCCCTTACTGCTACCCTTTTGCAAGTGGGGAAAGGCTCTCAAGGTAGTTATCCATAATGATTTCATCTAGAAAATGTTCGTTTATGCTTTTCTTTTGACAATGGCAAAGTTTTCATCAAGGATAGTTAAAATCAGAAGATCTGTTTTCTTTTTCTTATTTTTTAACAAAATGACATTATTTTTCTTATCTGTTTTTATTTTACGTTTGGGGATATATATGCAGGTTTGTTACATAGGTAAATTGCGTGTCACTGAGGCTTGGTGTACAAATGATCCCATTACCCAGGCAGTGAGCATAGCACCTGATAGGTAGCCTTCCAACCCACAAATCCGCCTCCCACCCTCCCTCCTCAAGCAGTCCCCAGTGTCTATTGTTCTTATCTTTGTGTCCATGTGTATTCGATATTTAGCTGTTACTTATAAGTGAGAATGTGCGGTATTTGGTTTTCTGTTCCTATATTAGTTCACTTAAAATGAGGGCCTCCAGCTGCATCCCTGTTGCTGCGAAGGGCATGATTTCATTCTTTTTATGGCTGCATAGTATTCCATGGTGTATATGTATACCAGTCCACCATTGATGAACATTTTTATTTATCTAGTCCACTGTTAATGAGCATAATAGTTGATTCTGTCTTTTCTATTGTGAATAGTGCTGTAAGAAACAAGTAAACGCATGTGACTTTTCAGTATAACAACTTATTTTCCTTTGAGTATATACCCAGTAGTGGGATTGCTGGGTCAAATGGCAGCTATGTTTTAAGTTCTTTAAGAAATGTCCACACTGCTTTCCACAGTGGCTGAATTAATTTACATTCCCACTAGCAGTGTAGAACTGTTAAATTTTCTCTGCAGGGTCACCAATATCTGTTGTTTTTTGACTTTTAAATAATAGCCATTCTGACTTTTATGAAATAGTATTGCATTGTGGTTTTGATTTCATTTTACTAATGATTTGTGATGATGAACTTTTTTTCATGTATTTGCTGGCTGCACATATATCTTCTTTTGAGAATAGTCTGTTCATATCTGTTGCCCAGTTCCTTAAATGGGTTTTTTTCTTGTTAATTTGTTTAAGTGACTTATAGATTCTCAGTATTAGATCTTTTTCAGATGCATAGCTTGTATTTTTGCTCATTCTGTAGATTGTCTGTTCACTCTACTGAAAGTTGCTTTTGCTGTGCAGAAGTTCTTTAGTTTAGTTAGGTCCCATGTGTCAATTTTTATTTTTGTTGCAGTTGCTTTTGAGGACTTAGTCATAAATTCTTTGCCAAGGCTGATGTCCAGAATGGTATTTCCTAGGTTTTCTTCTAGAGTTTTTAGTTTTAGGTTTTACATTTAAGTCTTTAATCCATCTTAAGTTAATTTTTGTATGTGGTGAAAGAAAGGAGTCCAGTTTCAATCTTCTGCATATGGCTAGTCAGTTATCCCAGCATAATTTATTGAACAGGGAGTCTTTCCCCATTATTTGTTATTGTTGACTTGTTGATGTTTTCTTTTGTTGTTGTGTCTCTGCCAGATTTCAGTATCAGAATGATGCTGGCTTCATGGAATGAGTTAGGAAGGAGTCCCTCCTCCTTGATTTTTTTTGGAATAAATTCAGTACGATTGGCACTAGCTCTTCTTTACATCTGGTGGAATTCAACTGTGAATCTGTCTGGTCCAGGGCTTTTTTTGATTGGTAGGCTTTTTATCACTGATTCAATTTTGAAACTCATTATTGATCTGCTCAGGATTTCAATTTTCTCAATCTTGGGAGGCTGTATGTTTCCAGGAATTTATTCATTTCTTCCAGATTTTCTAGTTTGTGTGCATAGAGGTGTTTGTAATAGTCTCTGAGAACTTTGTTTTTTGTTTCTTTTGTTTTTGTTTTTGTTTTGTATTTCTGTGGGATTGGTTGTAATGTTGCCATTGTCGTTTCTTATTGTGTTTATTAGGATCATCTCTCTTTTTAAATTTATTATTCTAGATAGCAGTCTAGATTAACAGCAGTCTATCAATCTTATTTAATCTTTTAAAGAGCCAACTTTTGGTTTTGTTGATCTTTTGTATGAATATTTGCATCTCAATTTCATTCAGTTCAGCTTTGATTTTGGTTGTCTCTTTTCTTCTACTAGCTTTGGGGTTGGTTTGCTCTTGTTTTTCTAGGTGTAACATTAGGTTGTTAATTTGAGATCTTTCTACCTTCTTGATGTACGTGTTTAGCAGTATAAACTTTACTCTTAACACTGCTTTAGCTGTATCCTAAAAATTCTTACATGTTTTACCTTTGTTTTCATTAGTTTAAAAGAAGTTTTTGATTTCTGCCTTAATTTTGTTCTTTACCCAAAAGTCATTCAGGAGCAGGTTGTTTAACTTCCATGTAATTTTATCATTTTGATAGATCTTCTTGATATTGATTTCTATTTTTATTGTGCTGTGGTCTGAGAGTGTGCTTGGTATGATTTTGACTTTTTAAAATCTGTTGAGACTTGCTTTATGGATGAGCATGCAGTCAGTCTTAGAGTATGTGCCATGTGCAGATAAGAAGAATGTATGTTTTGTTGTTGTTGAGTGTAGTGTTCTGTAGACCTCTATTAGGTCCAATTGGTATAGTGTTGAGGTTAAGTCCACAATACTTCGTTAGTTTTCTGCCTCAGTGATATGTCTAATGCTGTCAGTGGAGTGTTAAAGTCCCCTACCATTATTGTGTGGTTGTCTAAATCTCTTCATAGATCTGTAAGAACTGGTTTTATGAATCTGGGTGCTCCAATGTTGGGTGCATATTTCTTTAGGATAGCTAAGTCTTCTTGTTGAAGCTTAAATCATTATGTAATGCCCTTCTTTGTCTTTTTTGATCATTGTTTGTTTAAAGTCTATTTTATCTGATGTTAGAATAGCAACTGCTGCTCTTTTTTTGGTTTTGTTTTCTGTTTGCCTGATAGCTCTTTCTCCATTTCTTTATTTTGAGTCTATGTGTGTTATTACTTGTGAGACAGGTCTCTTGAAGACAGCAGACAGCTGGGTCTTGATTCTTTATCCAACTTTCTACTATATTCCTTTTAAGTGGGGTATTTAGCCCATTTACATTCAGGGTCAATATTCATATGTGGGGACTCAATCCTGTAATCATGCTGTTAGCTGGTTGTTATGTAAACTTGATTGTATAGTTTCTTTATAGTGTCAAAGGGCTATGTACTTAAGTGTGTTTTTGTGGTGGCAAGTATTGTTCTTTCATTTCCATGTTTAGCACTCACTTTAGGACCTTCTTAAGGCAGGCCCAGTGGTAAGAAATTCCCTTAGCATTTTCTTGTCTGAAAATAATTTCATTTCTTCTTCACTTATAAAACTTAGTTTGGCAGGATATGAAATTCTTGGTTGGAATTTATTTTCTTTAAGGCTGTTGAAAATAGGCCCACAATCTCTTCTGGCTTGTGGAATTTCAGCTGAAAGGTCCACAGTTAGCCTTATGGAGTTCCCTTTGTAAATGACCTGCCTCTTCTCACTAGCTGCCTTTAACATTTTTTCTTTCACATTGGCCTTGGAGAATCTGACACCTGTGTGTCTAGGGGATGGTTGTCTTGCATAGTAACTCCTAGGATTCTCTGAATTTCTTAAATTTGCATGTTGACATTGCTAGTGGGATTGGGAAAATTTTAGTGGATTGTATGCTCAGATACGTTTTCTAAGTTGCCTGATCTCTCTCCTCTTGTAGGAATGCCAATGAGTTGTAGGTTTGGTCTCTTTACATAATCCATTATTTCTCAGAGATTTTGCTAATTTTTTAAAATTCTTTTTTCTTTACTTTTATATGCCTATATTGCTTCAAAGGAACAGAACTCAAGCTCTGAGATACTTTCCTCAGCTTATTTTGTTGTTAATGATTCCAGTTGTATTTTGAAATTACATAGTGAACTTTTCATTTTCAGAAGTTCAGTTTAGTCTCATCTTAAAATGGAATGTCTTCTCTAGATAGTTTTACTATTTCCTTGAATTGGATTTTAACTTTCTCTTGTATTGCAATGAGCTTCCTTGACATCCAGATTCTGAATTCCATGTCTGACATTTCAGCCATTTAAATCTGGCTAAGAACTATAGATGGGGAGCTAGTGTGATCTTTAAAGATCACACTACTACCTTTAAAGTTAAGAAGACACTTTGACTTTTAGAGTTGCCAGAATTCTTGAGCTGGTTCTTTCTATCCATGAGGGCTGATGTTCTTTTATCCTTTTTAGTTGCTGTCCTTTGGATGGGGCTTTTTGTTTCTATGTTCTATATTGCCCTTGAAGGTTTCAATGTGGTGCAAATTGGGTATAGTTGAATGGCTTTGTTTCTGGATACTTTCATATGGCTAAGGCTCAGTACTCCACTTCTGGGCTATGTGCTCTAACCCTGGGTGGCTGGGACTGGGCCCATAGCTTTGTCCTCTTGTCTCTCAAAATTGAGCCTTGGTTGGGCTGGAGGAGCCAAGGTATACTTCTAGACCACTGAAAACAGTACTCTGTTGGTGGTGGTAGGGGCAGTGGGCGTGCTAAGGGTGGGAAGCACTCTAGTGGGGGTGCAATGGGGAAACACTTTCCCAAGGGGGCAATGGCAGTGTCTCAAGCAAATGTGCTCTGGCAGAAGGTGGTAGCAAAAGTGCTCTGGCAGGGTCAGCAGGGGCTCCACAGCAGGAAGTGCTGTGGTATGGGCAGCTTGGGTGCTGTGTGTAGGGAACACTCTGGTAGTGTATTAGTCCATTTTCATACTGCTATGAAGAAATACCAGAAACTGGGTAATGTTTGAAGAAAAAGAGGTTTAATGGACTCAGAGTTCCATATGACTGGTGAGGCCTCACAGTCATGGCAGAAGATGAAGGAGGGGCAAAATATGTCTTACATGGCAGCAGGCAAGAAACCATGTGCAGGAGAACTGCTTTTTATAAAACCATCAGATCTCATAAGACTTCTTCACTATCATGAGAACAGCATGGGAAAAACCCATCCCCATGATTCAATTCCCTCCCACCAGGTCCCTCCCATGACACATGGGGATTATGGGAGCTACAATTCAAGATGAGATTTGGGTGGGGACACAGCCAAGCCGTATTATTCCACCCCGGTCCCTCCCAAATCTCATATCCTCACACTTCAAAACCAATCCTGCCTTCCCAACAGTCCCCCAAAATCTTAACTCGTTTCAGCATTAACTGAAAAGTCCACAGTCCAAAGTCTTATCTGAGACAAGGCAAATCCCTTTCACCTATAAGCTTGTAAAATTAAAAGCAAGTTAGTTACTTCCAAGGTACAATGGGGTACAGGCATTGGGTAAATACACCCATTCCAAATGGGGAAAATTGGCAAAAATGAAGAAGCTACAGGCCCCATGCAAGTCCAAAATCCAGCAGGGCAGTCAAATCTTAAAGCTCTAAAATGATTGCCTTTGGCACCACATCTTGCGTCTAGGTCATGCTGATGCAAAAGATGGGCTCCCATGGCTTTGAGAAGCTCTGGCCCTGTGGCTTTGCAGGGTAGAGCCCCCTTCCTGGCAGCTCTCATGGGCTGAAATTGAGTGTCTGCAGCTTTTTCACGGGCATGGTGCAAGATGTCAGGAAATCTACCATTCTGGGGTCTGGAGCATGATGGCCCTCTTCTCACAGCTCCACAAAGGCAGTGCCCCAGTGAGGATTCTGCGTGGGGGTCCCAACCCTACATTTCCTTTCTCCATTTCCCCAGCAGAGGTTTGCTATGAGGGCCCCACCCCTGAAGCAAACTTCTGCCTGGACATCCAGGCATTTCCATATATACTCTGAAATCTATACGGAGGTTTCCAAACCTCAATTCTTGACCTTCTGTGCAAGTGGAAGCTACCAAGGCCTAGGGCTTTCACCCTTTGAAGCCATGGCCCAAGCTGTACCTTGGTCCCTTTTAGCCATGGCTGGAGTGGCTCAGAGGCAGGGCACCAAGTCCCTAGGCTGCACACAGCAGGGGACCCTGGATCTGGCCCAGGAAACAATTTTCCCTCCTTGGCCTCCAGGCCTGTGATGGGAGGGGCTGCTGTGAGATCTCTGACATGGCCTGGAGACATTTTTTCCATTGTTTTTGTGATTAACAATTGGCTCCTTGTTACTTATGCAAATTTCTGCAGCAGGCTTGAATTTCTCCCCCAGAAAACGGGTTTTTATTTTCTATTGCATCGTCAGGCTGCAAATTTTTCAAACCTTTATGCTCTCCTTTCTCTTGAATGCTTTGCCGCTTAGAAATTTCTTCTGCCAGATACCCTAAATCATCTCTCTCAAGTTAAAAGTTTCACAGATCTCTAGGGCAGGAGCAAAATGCCACCAGTCTCTTTGCTAAAGCATAACAAGAATCACCTTTGCTTCAGTTCCCAATGAGTCCCTCATCTTCTTCTGAGACCACCTCAGCCTGCATTTCATTGTCCATATCACTATCAGCATTTTAGTCAAAGCCATTCAATAAGTCTCTAGGAAGTTCCAAACTTCCCCACATTTTTCTGTGTTCTGAGCTCTCCAAGTCTCTAGGAAGTTCCAAACTTTTCCACATTTTGTTACCTTCTTCTGAGCCCTCCAAATGGTTCCCATCTTTGCTTGTTACCCAGTTCCAAAGCTGCTTCCACATTTTCAGGTATCTTAATAGCAGTACTCCACTCTACTGGTACCAATTTACTGTATTAGTCCATTTTCATGAGCTATGAAGAAACATCCAATACTGGGTAATTTATAAAGAAAAAGAGGCTTAATGGACTCAGTTCCACATGGCTGGGGAGGCCTCACAATCATGGTGGAAGGCAAAGGAGGAGCAAAGGCACATCTTACATGGCGGCAGGCAAGACAGTACATGCAGGGGACCTGCTGTGCTCCTCTGCAGCCATCCCCACACAGCCCACCTAGGCTTTATGCAGATTCAGGTTGTCTCTGACTACTCTCCAGGCAGTTCGCCCTGCCCACTAAGATGTCCATGTGGTTTTGGGGCTTCCTGCAGCTATAATCCCAGAGGTCAGTGGCAAGAGTGGGCAGCTCCACATTTATTTCACTACTCCCCTTTTTCTTAGCAGTCATTTAGGGCCTAGAGCATGTCCTAGCACTTGACAACTCTGTGCAGGTTTCCTAGCTTCCTCTTGGTTAAGCCCTAGCATCTGGGTTATCTCTTTAGCCATTCTCATTGCATTCTCTCAGATGATCTGTTTGGAGTATGGCAGTCTACTTGATATTCTGGCTTGTCCTGGTGGGAGGAGTTCTTGGCTACTTCTAGTTGACCATCTTGTCTCCCTCCCTATTTTCCTGATTATTTTAGTTTTACAGGTCTTAAAACCAAGAACTATAAATTCTCTGTGTTCTTTTTATTTCAGAGTTGTGTTACCTGTTTTGGTTTTTTTGTTTCATATAAATTATTTAATCAAATCATCAATTTCTCCAAAAAGGCCTGCAGAATTTTGATAGGGATTGCATTGAACATGTAGCCCAGTTTACAGAGACTGCATATCTTAACAATATTGAGTCTTTTAATTGATAAACATTATTCATTTATTTCAGTCTTCTTTTGTTTTTCTCAGCAATATATTGTAGTTTTCAGTAAAAAGTGCTTGTATATTTTTAGTTAGTTTTAGTTCAAGTTTTTGAAGTTTTTACAACCTGTTGTTAATTGTATTTTTTAGTTTTGATTTCCAGTTGTTTAGTGTTTAGGCTTTTTAACCTGTAACTTTTCTAAATTTACTTATTAATTTTGTTAATAGATATGTTATTTTATGTTTTTATTTTTGTGATTTAATAAAAATATATTGTCAAGGATTTTCCCTTTTATCTAAGTTACTGAATTTATTTGCATAAGATTATTTGTTTCTTTATTACTTTTTAAAAACTTTTATATATGACCATAGTACATTTCTCGAAATTAGGAAATTAACATTGGTATGATACTATTAATTAAAGACATTCAGATGTCACCAGATGACTTCTGACATTTCAGATGACATTCAATTTTTGTATTAATGTCTTTTTTTTTTCTGTTCCAGGAATCAATGTAGAATACTACCTACATTTAATTGTTTTGCTTTTCAATCCTCTCTAATCTGTGATGCTTTCTCAGTCTTTCCTTGTTTTTCATGTCTTTGATAGTTTTTATATTTTTTATTGATTTACATTTAATTGACAAACAATAATTGTGTATATTTATGGGGTACATTGTGATGTTTTGATCTACATATACATTGTAGAAAGATTCAATCAATCTAATTAACATATCTGTTACTTCACCAAGTTTTTTTGTGGTGAGGACATTAAAAATCTATTCTTTTAGCAATTTTGAAATATACAATACATTATTACTAACTGTGGTCAAAATACAGTAAAATAAATAATCCAAACTTACTTCTCCGATTTAACTGAAAGTTAGTACCCTTTGATCAACATTTCCCCTTTTTCCACTCCTTCCCTTCCCCTCCAGCCTCTGGTAACCACCTTTCTTTCTTTCTTTTTTTTTTTATTGTTGTTGTTTACTGACCTTCTTTTGGATAGATGGTGGGGAGAAGGTCAGAGAAACCTTCCTGCACAGGCTGTTTTTCAAATACCTTCAGTTTAAAATATTTAATATATCAAGTTTCAATGTTTTTGGTAGTATGTTTTTGAACCCCATCAGTTAGATACTTACATAGAGTGTCTAAGTTATTACATTAATGTAACAGGAGTGGGGTTCCATGGCTATTCAGATGAGGTAGGACATCTGGTTCTGTCTAGCTTCACCATGATCAGATGTGTGAGGGGTGGGTCTCCCTTCCAGGCTACAACTCCCAGCCAGGTTTCCAGGACCCCCCCTTCACCTCATGTTCAGGGCTGGTGAATGGAGAGATTGCCTCCATGAGGGGGTCAGATGGGGGTGCTAAGCAATGTGTTGATGGAGAGATGACTGTCATTCCTGCTGACAATTCAAGGCAACAAACAGGCTGCTCACTGGACCATAGAGAGAAGGGCAACTGGACACTGATTTGCTGCTTGTGCCTGTGGTGGATGGAGACCTCTTGTCCTTACTCTACTCCTTTCTAGATGGTTGTGGTATCTTTTATTCAGTCTAAGGGCAGGAAAGCCTTGCTCTGCAAGTTTATATCTGAGCCTCTGTGTCATGTTATGCTTAGAAGTGGACATTGAAGGCTAACTGTTTGGGTTAAAGGAGAAAACCATCAGAGACTGAAGGATCATGGACTCAGAAGTGGGGAAGACCATAAAGGAATGCTTTTAATTACCATCTTACTGCATTAAATTAATATTGATCTCTGTGCCATACTTTTACTTCCTGTGTCTGGTTTCTGTGAGGATTATCTGCAACCCAAGAGCATAAACCATTATTATTATTGTTATTATTTTTAAATTTTCTTTTTTTTAAATTTTACTTTAAGTTCTGGGATACACATGCAGAACATGCAGGTTTGTTACATAGGTATACATGTGCCATGGTGGTTTGCTGCACCTATCAACCTGTCATCTAGGTTTTAAGTCTCTCATGCATTAGGTATTTGTCCTAATGCTCTCCCTTCCCATGCCCCACCCCCTCCCGCCGACAGGCCCTGGTGTGTGATGTTCCCCTCCCTGTTTCCATGTGTTCTAGTTGTTCAACTCCCACTTATGAGTGAGAACATGTGGTGTTTGATTTTCTGTTCCTGTGTTAGTTTGCCGAGAATGATGGCTTCCAGCTTCATCCATGTCCCTGCAAAGGACATGAACTCATTCTTTTTTATTGCTGCCTAGTATCCCATGTGTATATATGCCACATTTTCTTTATCCACTCTATCATTTATGGGCATTTGGGTTGGTTCCAAGTCTTTGTTGTTGTAAATTGTGCTGCCATAAACATACATGTGCATATGTCTTTGTAGTAGAGTTGGTAACCACTTTTCTATTCGGTTTCTGTGAGATCATCCCTTTTAGATTCCACATATAAGTGAGATTATACAAGTACATAAAGGTAACAAGATTTTTATCCCATGCTTTTCTTGATGTTTATTAGTTTTGGGTTCTAATTTTGTTCTTAGATCCATGTTTGAATTAATTTTTGCATATAGTGTGGGGTATAGATCAAAGACCTTTATTTGTGTATGTATGGAAAGCCAATATTTTCAACACCCATTTTTTGAAAAGTGTACCCTTTCTTCACTTAATTGCCTTTGGGTCTTCGTCAGAAATCAGCTGTCTATATATGTGTGGGTTAACTACTGAAGCCTATTCTGTTCTACTGATCTGCTTGTCTATCTTTAAGCCAGTGAATTACTCTTGATCACTATAGGTTTATAATAAGTCATGAAATTAGGTAGTCTTAGCCTTCCTGTTGTGTTCTTTTGCCAATATTTTGACTATTCTATGTCTTTTGAATTTCCATATGAATTTTAGAATCAGCTTGTCACTTTCTATAGAAAAGCCTCCTTGAATTTTAGTTGGGACTTAATTAAATCTAAGGTTAGTTAGGGAGAATTAACAATTTAAATATATTGTTTTCTGCTTCAAAATATCCTTTAACTGATTTTAGTATAGCCACTTCAGCCTTCTTTTGATTAGTATTTGTAGGGTTTATTTGTTCAACATTTCATTTTTTAAATATTTTAGTCATTATTTGTTTTTTAAATGGATACATAACATTTGTACATATCTGTGAGTTGCATATGATATTTTATTAGATACATAGACAATGTAATGATTATGGCTGGCTATTTGTGGTCTTCATTATTTTAAGTATTTATCATTTTTATGTCTTGGGAACATTTTGAGTCCTCTCTTCTTGCCATTTGAAGTATACAATATATTGTTGTTAACTATAGCCACCTTACTCTGCCATCAAACATTAGAACTTATTCCTTCTATCTAACTGTATGTGTGTACCCATTAACCAACCTCTTTTTATCACCCCCCTTTCCCCACCCACACACCCTTCTCAATCTCTGGTATCCATCATTCTACTCTGTACTTCCATGAGATTACCTTTTTAGCTTTTATAGATGAGTGAGGACATGTGATATTTGTCTTTCTGTGCCTAGCTTTTTTCGCTTAATAGAATGACTTCCAGTTCCATCCTCGTTTCTGTAAATGACATAATTTCATTCTTTTTTATGCCTGAATAGTATTTCATCATGTATATATACCACATTTTCTTTATTAATTCATTTGTTGATGGACACTTGGGTTGAATCTATATCTTCTTTAATTGTGAATAGTGCTGCAATAAATATGAAAGTGCGGGTATCACTTTGATATACTTATTTCTTTTCCTTTGAGTAACTATTCAGTGGGGGATTGCTGGATTACATGATAGTTCTATTTTTAGGTTTTTGAGAAATCTCCATACTGTTTTCCATAGTGGTTGTACTATTTTTTTTTTTTTTTTTTTTTTTTTTTTTTGAGACAGAGTCTCACTCTGTCCCTCAGGCTGGAGTGCAGTGGTGTGATCATGGCTCACTGTTGCCTTGACCTCCCTGGACTTAAACAATCCTGCTGCCTCAGCTTCCCAAGCAGCTGGGGCTACAGGTGCCTGTCACCACACCTGGCAATTTTTTTTTTTTTTTTTTTTTTTTTTTTGTAGAGACAGGGTTTCACTATGTTGCCCAGGCTGACCTCAAACTCCTGGGCTTGAGGAATGTGCCTGCCTTGGCCTCCCATAGTGCTGGGATTACAGGAGTGAGCCACTGGGACCAGTCTGTTGTCTTTTTAATAATAGCCTTTCTAGCTGGGGTAAGATGATATCTCATTGTGGTTTTGATTTGCATTTCCATGATGATTGATTAGTGATTTTTTTCATATACCTGTTGGCCATTTGTATGTCTTCTTTTGAGAAATGTCTATTCATGTCCTTTGCCTACTTTATAGTGAGATTATTATTACTTTTTTTACTCTTGAGTTATTTGAGTTCCTTGTATAGTCTGAATATTAGTCACTTGTTGGATAAATAGACTGCCTATATTTTCTCCCATTTAACAGGTGGTCTCTTCATTCTGTCGATCGCTTCCTTTACTATGCAGAAGCTTTTAACTTTAATATGGTTCCTTTTGTCTATTTTTGTTTTTCTTGCCTGTGCTTTTGAGGTCTTAGCCATAAAATCTTTGCCAAGACCAATGTCCTAAAGTGTTTCCCCAGAGGGAAAAAATGATGAAGTTCAGAGCAGAACTAAACAAAATAGAGACTAAAAAATTTTATAAAGAACAACAAAACAAAAAGTTTTTTTTAAATAAGATAAACAAAATTGAAAACTATTAGCTACACTAACCAAGAAAAAAAGAGAAGACCCAAATAAACAAAATCAGAAATGAGAAAGAAGATATTACGATAGGACAGAAATACAAAAGATCATCAGAGACTACTATGAAATTATCCCTCTGCAGATGATATGATCTTATATCTAGAAAAACCTAAAGATTCTACTGTTAAAATGATTGTACTGCCTGGGCACAGTGGCTCACGCCTGTAATCCCAACACTTTGGGAGGTCAAAGCGGGTGGATCATGAGGTTGGGAGTTCAAGATCAGCCTGGCCAAGATGGTGAAACCCCGTCTCTACTAAAAATATAAAAATTAGCTGAGCATGGTGGCGGGCACCTGTAATCCCAGCTACTCGGAAGGCTGAGGCAGGGAATTGCTTGAACCCAGGAGGCACAGGTTGCAATGAGCAGAGATCGTGCCACTGCACCACAGCCTGGGCGACAGAGCAAGACTCTGTCTCAGAAAAAAAAAAAAAAAGAAAAGAAAAAAAGATTATACTGCCCAAAACAATATACAGATTCAGTGCAATCCCTATCAAAATACAAATATCATTTTTCAGAAAAATAAAAAAAATTCTAAAACTTACATGGAAACATGAAAGCATCCTAATAGCCCAATCATGAACAAAAAGAATAAAGCAGGAAGCATTACACTACTTGACTTCAAAATATATTATAAGGCTATAGTAAACCAAACAGCATGGTATTGGTATAAAAATAGGCATATAGACCAAAGGAATATAATAGAGAACTGAGAAATAAATCCATGTATTTACTGTCAACTGATTTTTGACAAAGGCACTAAGAACATACACAGGGAGAAAGGACACACTCTTCAGTAAATGGTGCTGGGTAAATTGGATGTTCTTATGCAGGAGAATGAAACTTGGTCTTTACCTTTTACCATATATAAAATCAACTCAATTTGGATTAAATATTTAAATGTGAGTCATTATATTTAGAATGTGTTTCTTGTTAGCAGCATATACTTAGGTCTTGCCTTTTTATTTAATCTGCCAATTAATTAAGGGCATTTAGCACATAAAGATGAAAGGTGATTATTGATATGATTGGAGTTAAATTTATCATCAGTCTATCTGTTTTTCAAAACATCTATTCCCTCTGTTACTTGTTTACCTTTCCTGTTTTTCTATCTTTGGGATAATTGAACATACTCTATGATTCCATTTTAATTTTCCTTGTTGTGCTATTTGCTATGGTTTGTCCCTTTCTTTCCTCCTTCCCTTCCCTCTTTTCTCTTTTTCTTTGTCTTTCTTTTTCTGTCCCTCCCTCCCTCCTCCCTCTCTCCCTCTCTGCACTTTTTCCTTCCTTCCTTTCTTTTTTTTCCTTTCTTTCTTTTCCTTCTCCTCTCTCCCTCCCCTTGCCACCCCTCTCTCTCTCTTTCTTTTCTTTTCTTTGGGACTCATATATCTTGTACCATTATCAGATGTCATACCTCTTTGGGTATAGCACAAGATCCTTACAAAGATGTCTTTTCATCCCTTCCTCCTGATCGTCGTGTTATTGTTGTTATTCATTTTAATTTTAGATAAATCTCACTCTACATAGTGATTACTTTTAATATTCAGCTATGTTTAACAGAGTTACAGAAATTACAAAAAATTTTGCATTTACTCACATTTTGGGCATTTCTAGTACCCTTCATTTCTTTGTATGGGTGTAGATTTCTATTTGGTATTATTTTTCTTCTTTCTGTACTTTAGATTTGCTACTGATGAGCTCTTAACTATTTGTATTTCTAAAAACAGCCCTAGTTTGCTTTCATTTTAAAATGTACTTTTACTTGATATAGAATTAATAGTTGATAGGTTTTTTTTTTTTTTTAGTATTTTAGAGTTGGTTCACTATCTTCTGTATTACATTGTTCCTAATGAGAAGTCTGCATCAATTTTATTTTTCGTTCTCTGTACCTAGTGTGTCTTTTGTCTTTGGCAGCTTTCAAGACTTATCACTGGTTCTAAGTAATTTGATTTTTATATGCCTTGGTGTAGTGTTTTTTCATATTTCTTTTGCTTAGTATTCATTGAGCTTCTTGGGTCTATGACTTTATAGTTTTCATGAAGTTTGGATACAACTTTGTCTTTTTTTATTATACTTTAAGTTCTAGGGTACACGTGTGCAACTTGCAGGTTTGTTACATATGTATACATGTGCCATGTTGGTGGGCCGCACCCATTAACTCGTCATTTACATTAGGTATATCTCCTAATGCTATCCCTCCCCCCTTCCCCCACCCCACAACAGGCCCTGGTGTGTGATGTTCCCCTTCCTGTGTCCAAGTGTTCTCATTGTTCAATTCCCACCTATGAGTGAGAACATTCAGTGTTAGATTTTTTGTCCTTGCGATAGTTTGCTGAGAATGATGGTTTCCAGCTTCATCCATGTCCCTACAAAGGACATGAACTCATCTTTTTCTATTGCTGCATAGTATTCCATGGTGTATATGTGCCACTGTTTTTATCTGCTCTTACCACTCTAGAGGACTTCAATTACAAGTATATTCAGCTACTTAAAATTGTCTCACAACTCACTGATGACCCGTTCTTTTTTTGTTTTGAATGTTTTCTCTCTGATTTATATGCATAATTTCTACTGCTGTCTTCAACTTTGATCATGCTTTCTTCTTCTACAAGGTCTATTCTGCTGTTAATTCTGGTCAATGTATTTTTCATTTCAGCTATTTTATTTTTCATCTCTCGTCGTTTGTGTCTTAAAAACATTCTCTCATGTCTCTACTTGCTTGTTTTTGCTCTACATGCTAATGTTTCCTCTACTTTCTATAAATATGGAATACATTTATAATTACCTTTTTAGAGCTAATCACACAAATATTTATTAGTACTATAATACTGTCACCTTCTTAATTTAGAGAAGAAAAATTGGGATCTGGCTTGGAAGTTCTACTCCAAGGTATCTGGCGTCCCCAGCTTTTCTGTCTTTCTTCTACATTCTCCAACCCTGTGCCCTGTGCTTCTAATTCATATTTAGCAGTGACTGTGTTACTATACTCTTAACACTTCCAGAGTTGGGTTAAAAATTGAATGCATGCTTGAAATTTATTTATTAGTCTAAGTATCAATGACCATAACATTTGACTAGCCACATTACAGATGTGAAATTGGTCTGCAGTTTATAATACTGAATCTTATTTGTCTTGCCATTTTCACATCTGAGTATTAACTATGGGTGATTTAATTGGGTTTGGGCCATAGTCCTAAAAGATTCAATTCCTAATGCTATAATCATGAATGTTGAACTCCTGAAAGATCCAAATTCCTAATGTCTAAAATCTAAAAATCATAATCTTGAAAAATCAATATCCCTAAAATATAATTCTGAAAAAGACTAATTTAAAAAATACTTTGAAAAACATTCGTTTACACTTTTAAAGGGGATTTATTTGACAAACATATAAAACATGGCAGAATACTTCATAGGACACTTTACACAATTAAATAGATAATAATTACACATTTTTGCAAGCATAGGCACTCCAGTATACTAACAACAGTCACACAGTTTTGAACATAAAACTTATTGATAAAGAAATGGGTCAAAATGGGAAATGTATAGGCATATATCACTATCATTGGTAATTGTGTGCATCCAGCTTTGTACCTGCAGTGATCTGAAATACTATAAAGGACAACCTAAATGTTTTGATGAGACTGATAAAAAACTGCAATGGGTCACTATCACATATTCAGTTACCTGAAGAGCTGAGACCTGGAGAAATTTTATCTTTCATATATGTAGAGATACAAAAAGGATATCTCTTCATTTATTGAGGAAGCTTCAACATTTTTATGTATATGTATAATGCTTGCACACAAAGTCAGTATTGTGATAATGTATTTTTATGGAGTCAAATTTGCAAAGAATGCATAAAACAAATTAGAATTCTCTAAAAGTCTTAAATTTATCTGTACCTCCAGTATTGGAAATGATATAAAGATAAAATACAACACATAGCAAATTGTAAAAAATAATGCTGACAATTTAAAACAGTGGGGAAAATAAAACTAAAAGAAAAACCTAAAAGAAAATTTGATACATGAATAAAAGATGTATTACAGGGATAGATTATGGACAACCGTATGGAGATAGTCCATAAGAGCTGGCCAACTTTCATGATCATTTACTATATTTTGACATCTTGCATAGTAATGAATAGCTGTGTTGTTGTTTTTTTTTCTTTTAGGGCATGGCTTTCCTCAGGGAATATGTTCACACTCATTTTCTATGTGGTGTTGATCTTTTTGAAATTCTGCTATGATTTAATATATTGTGACATGAACATTCCCTATCAAAATTTTGCATCTTCTCTGCCTTGTTTTCATGTTGTTTTACTTATGCAAAAATCCATTTCACATGCACTAAAATACAAACCGTAAATTTAGAGGAAACAATACTGGTGATGGAACAGCAACACCATTTAGTGTCTTCTTACTTTACCATGCATGTAACCATTTTTGAACTAGTCAGTAACTGCCTTGGCTTCTCCAGGCAAATGTGGCTTTAATTCACCAAAAGCTCCTAGAATATCATCAGCTAGAAGGAATGCCAGTGCAGAAAAATGACACATTTTTAAACTTGAAGTTTTTGTTATTGCTCTATTGCATGGCCAATCCACTCATCTGAATTTTCTGTCAAATGCATTGGACTGAATGGATAAAACAAATTTTGTTAGTAACACCTTGAAATTTATTTTAGAGGTCTTGATCACACTCAGTTCCAAATCTGTCATTATGGTTTGGGGATTCAGTTAGACGTTATGTATTTTAGACTTTAGGGATTTTGATCTTTATGGATGACTTTTGATCTTTTGGGATTTCAACATTTGGATTATGGCATTTGGGATTCTGATTTTCAGAATTATGATTGGCAATTTTAACTAATTCTGGCTCGGTATATTAATAATGCAATGCTTTTTTCAAGCTATTTGTAAGTGATTCATCTTCCAGTCTAATGTGAATTCTAGAAGGAAGGCAACTCGCTTGAAAAGCCACATGGTTCAAGAACTCAAATTGGGAATGATTTTTTAAAAAAACTTGAGACAAATTTCACTTACTAGAAAATTTACCTTCTTAAAGTATAAAATTCAATGGTTTTCAGTATTTTTGCATGAAGGTTCCAGTTTCTCTACACCTCTGATTGTTATTTGCCTTCCTTCCTCCCTCATTTATTATAATCATTTTAGTGGGTGTAAAGTGGTTCCGATTGTAGTTTTGATATGCATTTCCTTAATGACTAATGATGTTGAACGTCTTTTTTCATGTGCTTATTGGACATTTGTAAATCTCCTTTGGAGAGATGTCTATTCAAATCCTTAACTCATTTTGTAATTGGGTCATTGTTTCTACACTAGCTTTTAAAATGTTCTTGTCAACTAATTCTATTACATATGTTATTTCAAGGTATTTTTCAATTGATTGACTTTTCCCACCTTTATGGATTGTAGTGTCTTGCTTCTTTGAATGTCTAGCAATTTTATATTGAATGTCAAACATGGTGAATTTGACCTTGTTGGGTGCTGGGCATTCATTAGTTTAAAGAATAATCTTGCATTTTGTTCTGTAATGTACTTGTTATTTGGCAACATTTAATCCTTCAAGTCATGCTTTTAAGTTTCATTAGTCTGGGCCAGGGCAGCCTTCAGTTTAGGGCCAATTTTGTTCCACTACTAAGATATACCCATCTAAGCATTTTACCCAGTGCTCTGGAAATACTGAGGTTTTTTTACTTTGGTGGAAAAATGAATTTTTCTAGTCCTATGTAAGCTCTCTTTCTTATGATTCTTCCTTCTGCTCTTCTAGATCATTCTTCCTCTTATAGTTTCCTTACACACATATTTAAATCATTTCTCTTTTCTGTAGTTCTCCAGAGCAATCTGTGCAGATCTTTCCCCTTTGGAGGCCTGCCCTGTGAACTCCAGTTACAAAAATCTCTCCAGACTCCCTCCTCTATTTTGTCTTCTGGAGACAAGCTCCTCTACAGATCATTTTCCTGCACAGCAGCCTAGAAATTCTCTCCAGATCTCAAGCTTAGCAATAGTAGAGCTCCATTGTTTTTTTTGTTGGGCACAGTGATAGCTTTCCTGCATTGCCTGAGAACTTTTATTCCACATATTTTGTCCCCCACTTTTTTTTACTACTTCAGATGGGAAGGGAAATTCTATCTCATTGCCCAATTTTGGCCAGGAGCACAAGTCTGTATTGATCTTTTAGAAACGTGTCTTTTTTGACTTATTTTACTGGTTGTTTTAGATATCACAACATAGATATTTAAGTTATCACAGTTAACCTTCAAATAAAATTATACTTTTAAACAAATGTTTAAGAAACTTAAAACTATATATTTCTATTCACTCCTCTGCTTTTTATCCTCTTATTGTCTTATATATTTTCTCTGCATGTGCTGTGCACCAGTTATATTTTTATTGTTTATATTTTAAACTGTTAATAGCCATTAAAACATTTCAAGAAGCTAACAAAAAACGCTTTTATATTTGCTTAGATATTTACCCTTTTTGGTTCATTATTCTTTCCTATAGTTCTAGAATTTCATCTGGTTTAACTTTCCATCAGTCGTAGGCAACTATTTTTTAAATTGAGATTAGTTTTTCAAGACTAATTCTAGAAAACTAATAGAAGAAAAGATGTGCTTTTTCCTAGAAGTAATTATTGTTTGTCTCAGTCTTTACTATTCTTTTATACAAAATGTCTATGCTATGACCAAAAATTACAAGATACATATAGAAGCAAGAAAATGTGACTCATACAGACAAGAAAAGAAACAGTTAATAAAAGCAGAACAAAAGGTAGTCCATATGTGTGAATAAAAAAGCCTATTTAGTCTTCATTTCTGAAGGATATTTTCATTGTATATGGAATTATGTGTTGACTGCCTTCTTTCCGACTCTTCAGTATTGTTATTCTGTTAATTTTGGTCTCTACTGTTTCTGATGAGAAGACAACTGTTATTGTTGTTCTTTTTGTTGCTTTAGCTCCATTTAGGATTTTCTCTTTGTCTTTGACTTTGCATGTTTTCACACTTGTGTTAGGTACAGTTTTCTTTGTATTTGTACTTCTTGGGGTTGAGTTTTTAATCTGTGGGTCAATGTCCTTCATCAATTTTGAAAAGTTTGCAGCTATTTTGTTTTTAAATATTTCTTCTGCACTATTCTTTTTCTTCTACTCCTAGGACTCTGATTACATGTGTTTTGGAACTTTCCATATTGTCTTACAGCTTTTCATCTTGTGCCACAGGTGCTCGCTTTTTTTGTTTTTAATAATTCTTGTCTTTGAGTTTCATTTTTGTTACTTTATATTGATCGTCTTCAAGTTCATTGGTCCTTTCCTCTGCTGTGTGCATTTTGCATTTAAGGTCTTCTCTTGGATTCTTTATTTTGATGTAGTGTTTCTAATTTCTAGTGTTTTCATTTGGTTTAAGAAATAGTGTATTTTCCTGCTGTAATCACTTAGCTCCTAAAGCAGCAGTCCCAAACCTTTTTTGACATCAGGGAATGGTTTCATGGAAGACAATTTTTCCATGGATGGGGGTGGAGGGGATTGTTTCAGGATGAAACTGTTCCACTTCAGATCATCAGGCATTAGATTCTCACAAGGAACATACAGCCTAGATCCCTTGCATGCACAGTTCATAATAAGATTCGTGCTTCTATGAGAATCTAATGATGCTGTGGATCTGGCAGGAGGTGGAGCTCAGGAAGTAATGTTCACTTGCCTACCACTCACCTCCTATTGTGTGGCCTGGTTCCTAACAGGCCACATACCAGTACTGGTCTCTGTCTTAAAGCATGTTGTATACATTTTCCACAGGATCCTTTAGCATTTTTATCCTAAATACCTTCAAGACCCAGTCTGATATTTCATCATCTGGGCTATCTCCGGTTCTGCTTTTAATAACTGTTTCTTCTCTTGTCTGTGAGTCACATTTTCTTGCTTCTATATGTATCTTGTAATTTTTGGTCATAGCATAGACATTTTGTATAAAAGAATAGTAAAGACTGAGGCAAACAATAATTACTTCTAGGAAAAAGCACCCCTTTTCTTCTATCAGTTTTTTAAGATGAAGGTCAAAATTAATCTGATCAGTTATTGAACTGGGTCTGGGCTTTGTTGCAGCTTTAGTTTGTTTCACTTACTGCAGGCTTTAGTTATTTTCAGGATTGTTTGGGATTCTCCTTTTTGCAGGATTTATGCTCTGGAATTGCCAATATTGTGGAGATCTTTTTATGAATTTCAATAGAGTTGACGGCTTTCCAAACTGTGTGAAAACTCTCTGCTTTCTAGCCTGCCTGCCAGATTTATAAGTTGCTAGAGGGTTGTCTTTGCTCTTCAGCACAGCTCCTGAGTTTTCATGGCTTAGGAGTTTTTTTTAACCCTGCTGGCCTGCCCAAGCCTTCTGAGGGCAACTTTATTCTTTGAAGCCTTGAAATGACTTATATTTTAAGATGTGTGCAAGATATCTGGCATTTCTTCTGACCTTTGGTGCCTCTGATGAATATCTTTTAGCTCTCTTGTCATGCTCCTTACCTCTGGAGGTGGGCTGCTTTGTAACTTGAGGAGGTACCATATACCTCATGGGTGATCTTCCTGACCTGTCCCAAGCTGTTGGCACACTATCTCTGAGCACTCAGTGAAGACCCTTAGAAAGATTTGGCAGGTGGATTCAATCTCACTCTGTACCTGGGGTTCTTCAGAATATTAATCTGCCAGTCCATATATACTCTTATTTATGTTTTTAATTTCAGCTGGATTCTTCCTATCCAAAATTATGGTGTGTTTTTCTTTGTTTTTTTCTTGTTTTTGTTTTTAAGTCCTCTCAGAACTCTTCCAGGGATGTGATCAGCTAAGGTCTCTTCTCTCTTATAAAGCACTTGTCCTTTTCTGGAATTTAGTTAATTTTTGTTTCTTTATGTCTTGAACTGGTATATTTGAAAAAAAAGTGATGCAGCTTATCTGGTTTGTTTCGTTTGTTAGAGTGAGAGAAAAACTTGTGGCTTCCTACATCATAAACGACACAGTAGGGTTGTGTGATTAAAAAAAATTCCCTATTTATCATGCCTGACAATTTCAGCAGTTACCATAGTATAGAGAAATTCTAAGGATGATATTTCCCATAATAACTTCCATGTGATTGAACAGAACAATTTTTCATTTCCATAAGACCATTCTTCAATTTCATTCTGGACTTCCTCTGGATCCTAACCTTAACCAGCTCTTGGGACAGATAGAGTCACGTAGTATTGATTCCTCTTAATTACACGACTCACATTTATGTGGTACTTCTATAGGGATTCAAGCATTTTTCCTGCTATATCCCCCAATCCTGGAGCAGTGTGTGCCAGACAGCAAGCATTCAATAAACATTTGTTGAATGACTATTTGATCCTTAAACTTTCCCTGAAGATAGACAGAAAGGGGACATAACTCCCCTTTATTAAATGTTGATTTTCTGTTAGGAATTGTTCTGCATGGTTTATACACATTTAACCCTTAAAATATCTCTGTCATACATTCTTATCAATGTCTTGAAGAATGGGAAACTAAGCTTTCAAGCCTGTCAGTTGGAGGTCAGCTTTACTAGAACCCAAGTCAACTTTTGGTTCTTGACCTTTTCCATGCTACCACTCTGTTTCTCATAAAATGTCTCTCCCAATAAGAGAAAATGAAAGAACACAGGGTCTCTAGAAATCCTTCCCCTTACATAATTGAGACATCTCCTTTCAACTCTAACCAAAGTTCAATGTGTGCATCAAGGAAGAAGAGGCTTGTGATAAGAATCAAATGAGATAATGTAGGGCAAGTGGTTCACAGCCTAGAAAATGCCACTCACATGGAATTAGCCAGTGCACCCAGCAGTCCAGGAAGGGGCATAGCAGGTAGATCTGCAGCCCCATGGTTGTGCTGTTTCTGCCTTGCTGGCTGCAATTTCAGCCAGGCCCCAGGGCTGGGTATCAGGGTTACAGCACTTAGAAAGTGGGCTTGGTGGGAGAAAGTTAGTCACCATTCTCATGCTGGGAGTACACAGTGATGGGTCCCCAGATGCTGTTTTTTTCTCTCCCTGTCTTCTTTTCTTAAAATTTTATTTTTTAAATTTTATATATAAAGAAAAATATTCACCCACCTAATTTTTAAGTTTTAATGGAGATGGGGTGTTGCTTTCTTGCCCAAGCTGGTCTTGAACTCCTAGCTTCAAGCAATCCTCCCACCTTGGTGTCCCAAAGTGTGGGGATTGCTTGCGTGAACCACTATGCCTGGCCTGGAACCAACCTTTATGGTTATCAGAACTCCCGTCACTTAGTTAACTGTCTCAGGTATGAAAATGTCCTTTCTTATATGTATCAAAACTCATACTGAACAATGAGTTCTGGGTTGCAAAAGAGGATTTATTTTTTGCACCTGTCTGTAAGACTTTATCCACAAGTTAAGCAAAAACATGCACAAGTCTAATCTCCCTGTCTTCTTAAGAGGAGAGCCAGCTTTCTTACCCTTGCCATCTTGTTCTACTCCCAAGGGGAATTCTTGCTCAAAGATTCATGCCCCAGACTTCCCGCTTGAACTTCCTGTGCTCAGATAATTCTCATTGTAGAGTCAATGAACTGCTGGTCATCCATCTTTGTTTCTGAAGTCCTACCTATCAAACCTCATGAGGCTACCCCGGTGGGGGTGGAGGATGAGGGATCTTTGGTGAATAAGATAACTTAAAATAAAAGAAATCTGAATTGGTCTATTTTTAAAAGAAATTTATTTTCATTTCTTTCAAATATGCAAATTACCTAGGACAAGATGAATAGCATTGTCCTTAAAGACCTTGCTTTGGTGAATAGCCAAATTAGATCCATAATTAGCACACCAATTGTGGTTAAAAGTAAAGTGGCTTAAATGCCTGCTTCCCCTCCCTCATCTTGTTTACATTATTAATTTAATAAAGTGACACTTCAAAGAATAGAAGGTGAACTTCAAGCCTCTAATTTAAATTACATTTAGTGGTCACAAATTAAACTTTGAGATGTTTCCCTTATTATAATAGTATCGTATGCTGTGTTTTAGTGATTACAAAGTATTTTCTTACATATGGGCTCCTTTTGTCTTCCCAATAACCTTATGGGGTGAGCAGGGAAGTTTCCTTATCTCTATTTCACAGATGAGAAAATGCAGAGTCTAAGGCATTAGGTTACTTATATAAGGCCATACAATCAAAGATCAGTCAGTTCGTTCTATTCTGATTCTTCAGAGATTTACTCCATTTCTAATGATATGGAACCAAAGCAAAACAAATGCGAGGCATGCAAAATGGGTAATTTTATTCATTCTTTTGCTCCTTCATTCATTATTTCATTTCCTTATTCATTCATTTTTATTCCTAGAGACTGCTACTATCCCTGGAATGTAACAAATGTCTCAGTAGGGTACTTACTGTATGAATGGAAAGGGGGGAAAATAGAATAATTTACTCTATGTAGTGGAGTAAAGGTATCTTACCTGTTCATATTGCCACCGACCCCACACTGTGCCATACATAAAATCCTCTGAAGTAGGGCAAGTAACATGGTAAACAATCTCACTTTATCAGCTTTTTCTTCTTCAGGCAAGTCTGTAGCATGTGCTGGATGACGATTTGAGCAATTGGAAACTTTTAAGTGTTCAGATGGCCATTGATGTCAAGCCCATAAACCCTCACCTTCTGCCTTGCTCTTCTAAGCCTTCTGTTCTCATATTAGCTCCCTGGTCCATCGGTCCATTCTCTGTCTTCCTCACTCCCTCTTTCTCTCTCTCTGTCTCTATCCCTTAGTTTCTTTCTTTCCTCCTCTTTTTTCCTCTTTATCTTCTTTTTTCTTCTCCTCCTCCATTCCCATTCCCCCACTCTCTCCCTCTCTTTCATGTTTTGTACAGTGTGAAATTAAAGACTGAGTAGCATGACTGAAGTTAGGTATTTCCACAAAATAATGACCCAGGATTGGCTTCACTGAGTTTTAAGACATGCCATGGGTACTTCACGCTAAAGTCCATTTTTCCACATGAAACAGCCATATTGTTAAAAACATTTGGAGAGCTGAACTTTCCAGATGATTAACATAAGTATCTACTTTATGGTTTGCATTTTTCTTCTATATTAAGGACCTGTCCAAGAAGTATCAAGTGTAACTCAATAAAACATTAGCTTCTCTTTTGCTGAATAAAATTTCAGAACAATACCTTCATTAAAGTTACCTGGAGGCAGCTTTGGATTCAATATAATAAATCTGCAACGGTCTCCCAGCTGCTGCTGAATGTCAGGCTCTTAGCAAGTCCATTCCTAACTGTCTTCATTCCTAAGTGGCCCCTATGCTTCTAATTCCTCAGCCCCACCATCCTTCCCAAATACTCATCCCCAAGAGTGACTTTTCTAAAAAATCAGATTTTGTGAATCTTCTATTTAAAATGTCAATCTTCTATTTAAAATGTCATTTGGTTCCTCGTCAGCAATGAGGTATGGTGTGAACTTCTCTTGCTGTATCTGGTCCTTTGTGACAGTGAGGTCATCTGTTTAGGCCTGCCTGCAACTCCCTCCCTGACTTTGTACCTCCCCTCTTCCCTAGGACATCTCTGCATGTTTGCAGTGTATCCTTTACCGTCTTGTTATACCTCACTTGGTGGTGGAAATGGAGGGAAGGGGATATATTTGAGGGCTATTTCCTAGGTCCCCAATCCATGAATCCTTCATCTATTTTACCAGTCAAAATGAATCTCTCTTTCCTTGGTGTGTTCCTGCATTAGCCTCGGCACATCCTGTCTTGTATTGCAATTATTTTTTTATGTGTTTCTTTCTTTCCTGGCCTATGAATTTATATCTTATTCACTACCCTTTCAGGGTGCGGAGCTCAGTGCTTGGCATATTCTTGCTGTTCGGTAGTAGGCAGCCACTAAGTTGTTGAATTGAACTCTTCTGTGTGCTTGAGTTGGAATATTCTGAGGCTAAGATCCCCTCAGTCCTTAGAGGTCAGCCCTTTGTATCACAGGCGGAGTTCAGCAAGAAACAAGTGTTTAAAATTCATTTTCTCATAAGTTAGAACTTCTGACCAAGACTTCATTTTAGAAACGTATCACAGAAATGCTGAGAATTAAAGCATTTCTTTGCATCTATAGAAGATGGTGACTCAGTTGTTACACTACCTTTTGTTGTTGTGGCCCCAGGATCTCAGACAATGCATTCTTACCTCAGATGGGGACATAGGAATGGTTTTGGCAATTTCTGTCATCTGCCTGGAAAATGGGTATTTTTGGTTATTTTCCTATGAAGGAAAGAATTCACCACTTCCCCCACTATAAGATATTTAGATTTGAGTTTAATTTTTCTATAATTATAAATCACATTCCTGGATTTTGTTGATAAAGTTTTATTTAATGTATCCAAGTCTGGTGACTAACATGGCAAAGTAATATAGCAAATATTTGAAGTCAGAAGGCTGACTCTAGGCTTTGAGCAAGTCAATTACCCTCTCCAAGGGTCAGTTTCACTGGTAGAATTGGGATAGTGATGCACCCACCTTACAGGATTGTCAGATGAATTACGTGAGGTGGTTGGGAATGGACTTTTTGGTCTGCCAGGTGGGCTGTAGAGGAATTCTCGCTCTGGAGATGAGGAGGTTAGGGGCCTGGGATGGACAATTGAAAAGGTCCTTCCCAGCACTGCTATTTGTAGATTTATCATTTGTCTCCCACATTTTCTCTTTGGTTGGACTAAGATTAAATTTCATGTGTTTGTTGCATATGTGCATATATCTGTCATCCTGTCTAAGACTCAACCTTTTTTGGCACCATGGGTCTGTTTGGTACTCTGGTGAAGGTGATCAGTCCTTTCACAGAATACTGTTTTTAAATACATAAATACATAAAATAAAACATTAGGCTGAACAAGAATAATTATATTGAAATATAGTTCTATATATAGATCTACTGGGGACTCATGGACTACAGTTAAAAATGTTGGGTGTCTCTGCCAGGCGTGGTGGCTCATGCCTGTAATCCCAGCACTTTGGGAGGCCAAGGTGGGAGGATCACGAAGTCAAGAGATTGAGACCATCCTGGCCAACGTGGTGAAACCGTATCTCTAGTGAAAATACAAAAATCAGCTGGGTGTGGTGGTGCATGCCTGTAGTCCCAGCTACTTGGGAGGCTGAGGCAGGAGAATCGCTTGAACCTGGGAGGCGGAGGTTGCAGTGAGCTGAGATTGCGCTACTGCACTCCAGCCTGGTGACAGAGTGAGACTCTGTCTCAAAAAAAAAAAAAAAAAAAAAAAAAGTTGGGTGTCTCAAAAATTTAAAATCCAGAATGGAACTTAAGAGTCACAAATTTCTTCATTCTCACTTTACAGATGAAAGAAGATGTGATTCCCAAAGACAGTTCCCTCAACTTGGTTCAGAATCAAATAGGGAGTTTTATTCGGTGGGTATGCACAAGAACACGATAGTTCCATTGACAATCTTTCCAGCCACAAATTTTTGGAATTATTTGTGCCTTGGCTCTTGTTTCTAGCTCAAGACACTGTAGACTTGCTGGATTGAATGCTATTTGGAGAGATTTACCAGTTGATCATTTCAACCCAAAACGGAGATCACAAATGGAGACTTCCTAAATATTCAGTACACCCCTCCAAAGTGCACTCGCTCCATCAAGGTTATCCTAGTATTAATTATTCATAGGCAGAGCACTGACAAATTCTAATTGCAAATAAGTGCAATTGCTGTTGATTGCATAATTTATGATTCCATTTGTTAAACTAAGACAATGGGAGTTGATGAAAGGCATTAAGTGGCCCCAAATTAAAGGTAAATTGGGTTCAAAGGCTTGTCTTTCTGTGAATGTAGCTTGAAGTTGTCTGCTTTCCTGAGACCCTCTCACACACTGGTGATTTATGTACCAGGTAAGCTGTGTTACATCAAATCTTGTGTCTGGCTGGAGATGCTTCAGTCTGGGCTTCCTGGAGATCTGCACTGCAGCCTGTGGTGAGATGGCCTCTTGCCTCAGTGAGGCTCTGCCATCTTTCTCTGAAGCTCAGGGCCTGGCCTCTGTGGCTTGGCTTCAAGACAGCCTGATTGCATAACTTTGTCTGCATTGCTCTGACACTTTGCTGAGGGGACTTTGGACAAGATGGCAAAATTGGCACTGGAGTTCATTGGAAATGATTTCCTTGAAAATGAGGCAAATGCTTTTCTTTCCATGTGACAGACACTCCCACGGATCAGCATCTCACAGAGGTTAAGTGCAATCTCTGCAATTGCTCACTGCTCTTCCTAAGAATAATACAAGACAAAGACTGTACTGAAGATGGAATCTTTTGCATAGTAAATCTCAAGATAAGTCTGTTAAATAAAAGGTGGTTTGAAAGGAGATTATTTATGGGGTGTGCAAGGAGGAATTTGATATTCAAGTTGTACATTGTGAGAATTCATTGCAAGAGGTCTGACTTCCCTTTCTTTGAATATATAGAGCTGGTATTAAGAAACATTTGGACTTTGAATCTTACAGATTTGTTCTCTAAAGATTAAATTTCATATATGCACAAAAGAAGAGCCCCAAAACAATGGACTTTGATATAACTGCATTTATACCATGTACTGTGATTAATTAATGAGGAAGTGATGGGCTCATTAACTTCTGATTATGTGTCTTGTGCTGCAGTGGGACAAACCATTGACCCAGACTGGTGACCGTCTTGATAACATCAGTAAGATGGCCTTTGCCATTAAAATTCTGGAACTAATGAGTACAGAAAAATGGAAGTTTACTCTGCTTAACAAATAAAACGTTGTTTATTGGTTCACTGGAGTCAAAGGGATCAGTAGATAAGTCCTATTCTTGTATGAAAATGGTGAAAAGTTGAAGTTGGGCAGAGCCTAAGATGCAGTGAGTACAACATAGAAGGGAAGGCTGGAGAATTATGCAAAATTTGGAGGGTTATGGATGACATGCTTGGACTTGATCCTGTAGTTAATAGTTATTCATATGGTACTTTTAGGCAGGAAAATTATAGCATTAAATTTCTGTTTCAGAAATATCCCTCTGGATGCTTATGCAGAGAATTGATCGGAGAGAGCGAGCTTGGAGGCAGAAAAGCCATTCGGGAGTTGAGGCCACAGTCTAGGAGAGAGATAATGCTATCCAGCCCGTGGAAGTGGCAGTGGGTATGGGGGATGGAGAGGAAGAGACAGATGGAGAGGCATTTTCAGTGTCAAATTGACAGAATGGGTTGGACTGGCATGCCATGGCCATGTCTTAGAAACTTTAAATAACGTTTGTGGGAAAAATAAACCAGAGCTTGTCCCTTATACAGAGGCCAGGGCTGGAATCCCAGAGGAGATAGAATATGGCTCAAGGGACAGCTACCAATGGAGTGGGAAGTCCTGATATTCTGAGGCTGGGTTGTAGCCCTCTGTCACCACAAAGGAGACCAAGAAGGGGAAGTGATTCACTCAAGGTCACTTGGCAAGTTAATTACACTCTTGGCTAAGCCTTCTGAGCAGAATGGGAGCTGCTTCCAAGAAGTGCAGATGCTCAGTGGTCTGGTGGCTGCCTCTTCTGGATTCCTGGTTTGAGCTCTCACAAGAGCTCTCCTTGCCCTCCCTGGACTGGGCCCTTATCCTGGGCTCACTGCTCTATCTTTCAAACAACTCTGCCTTTTACCTGCAGTTTTGGGGTGGCCCAGGCGATGGGGTGGAGCTGAGGAGGTAATCCTGCCTGGGAGTGAATGCCACTGTGTGTGTGCACGTCCATGTGTCTCTGGAATGCTGACAGCACTGGGTTGTCTCTTGCCTGAGCATCACTTGACCATCCTGCTTTAAACCGGAGGAGAAATTCTATCAAATGCAAGCCCACTCAGAGCTTGTTTCCTTCTTTATCCTAAATAATTTCAAAGTGCTTCAAGCAGTTTTATAAAAGCAAAAAGCAAGCAGCTGATTTCATTTGGCGACACAGAGGGCTAAATTAGGTCATATTATGTTAGGTCATTCCCAGGGCTAATTAACTGATTGTCCTCATGGTGGCCCAAGGAGTCAGCTGTGCTTGCAGCTGTGCCTAACATAGACCTACTCTGTTAACGCATTCTGGTTTTGCTTTCTGAGGTTTCAGTTACCCATGGTCAATGGCAGTCTGAAAATTTTAAGTGGAAAATTCCAGAAATAAACGATTCATAAGTTTTAAATTGTCTGCCATTGTGAATAGCATGATGAAATCTCATGTAATCCTGCTCTGTCTTGCCGGGGACATGAATCCTCTCTTTGTCCAGTGTCTCCATGCTCTCTACCCTCCCCACCTGTCACTTTGTAGCCCTCTAGGTTGTCAGATCAGCTGTCACAGTATGGCAATGCTTGTGTTCAAGTTACCTTTATTTTATTTAATAATGGCCCAAGGTGCAAAAGCAGTGATGCTGGCAATTTGAATATGCCAAAGAGAAGCCATAAAGTGCTTTCTTTAAGTGAAAGGTGAAAGTTCTCAACTTAATAAAGAAACAAAATCATATGCTGAGGTTGTGAAGAACTGCAGTGAGAACAAATCTATTTGAGAAATTGTGAAGATGGAAAAAGAAATTTGTACATAGTATATATAGGATCTCATACTCTATGTGGTTTCAGATATCCACCGGGGGTCTTGACACATATCCCCCATGAATAAGGGGGGACTACTGTACTCACAGTCTAATGATTTGTTCACAGGGGATTTACATCATTTGATCATCTCAAAAGCCTTGTGTGACAGGTGAGATTATGAACTGTTTCATAACGGAGGAAACTATGGCTCAAGATTAAGTCATGTGCCTCAGGGCACATTCCAGCCACTCCCTGCCCCCAGACTGCCAGGCCTCTCTGAGACTATTAAATCCTCCCTTGGCACTCCACCAACCTATCTCTCTGTGAACTGAGCATTCGATGCTGCTAACATGCCCTCCTCAAAACATTCCACCCCTGTGACTTTCATGACACTGTACCACCCCCTCTGTGCAGTTCAAGGGGGACACTGGATAAGATGATTTTCTCAAAAAGTCCTCAGAACGTCTTCACCTTCTCTGGCTTCATTATCTTGGTGTAGGACGCTACCACCGCCACCACCGCCTTCCCGTTCTCTTCTTCCTCATCCAACATTTCTGGAAACTGGACCAGTGCTCCTTCCAAGTCCTTCTGTATCCGGGCTTATCACTGTAATGGATTAGTCAGGGTGAATAGGGGTTTGGTGCTGGGGTTCTCAACACCGAAAGTAATTCTGGCTACACTGGAATGCATTTTTTTATTAGTCAGTACACAAATGTATACATAGTCCATTTGTTTCCCAAATTAAAATATTTCACAGTGTTTAGAAACAGAAAGTGAACATCAGAATTCTGTGAGGGTATATTTATGGAAGGATGGATTTTTGCAAGAAACATTTGATATGCTGTACTATATTACCTGCTTTAGCTGCCATAACCAAGAACCACAGACTGGGTGGCTTAACAAACAGAAATGTATTTCCTTATAGTTCTGGAGGCTTGAAATCCAAGCTCACGGTGCTGGTGAGTTGGCTTCTCCTGGGCCACTCTCCTTGGCTTTGGATGTCCCCAGCCTTCCCCTGTGTCTTCATATGCTCTTCCCTCTGTGTGTGTCTGTGTCCTAGCCTCCTCTTCTGATGAGGGCACGAGAACCCAACCTGATGTTTTCATTTTAACTTAATTACCTTCTTAAAGACCTTAAACAACTCTGCTTTTTACCTGCAGTTTTGGGGTGGCCCAGACGATGGGGTATGCAGGTATGTTTTAAAGACCTTATCTCCACATAGTCACATTCTGAAGTATTGGGGGTTAGGATTTTAATAAGTGGAATTTGGGGGACACAGTTCAGCTCACAACATATATAGTGTATCTTTTCCAGATAAAAGCAAACACTGTAAAAATATAAATATAGATTAAAAGATACAAGCACAATATTTTTCTGGATTTGCTCTTCTGGGTACTATAGATTGCTTAGCATAACAATCATTTTTATACATTTTTCTTTCAAAAGTTATTATTCTCAAACAGCGGGGAAGGGGTGGAACCTGGAAAAGGTGTTGATTAGGTGGGATGATGGGTCTCACCTGACACATGAAGCCAGGGCTGATGGGCTGATGTGGTGGGTGCTGTATCCAATGGCCTCCTAGAAGAACAGGTGTGCCTGCTGCAGCAGCCTGGCCTCAGGTGGGGCTCTTCTCAGTGTCCCACTGGTTCTGGGCCCTGGGCACATGGGCCTGCAGAGATTAAATGGGGACTGCTGGAGCTCACGTTTCCCGTTGGCTGGGTCCTGTGCTTGGCTGTAGGAGACTCAGGCAGGAATCCACTTGATCCTGACCCTCGGGGCTCACAATACAATGGTAGAGACTTATCTGTCTGAGAAGATAAGAAGTGAGAAGTGAGAAATGAGTTCAAGACCATGCTGTGGGAGCTCGATGAAGGTAGGAGCCAGTTTTACTAGAGGCTGACCCCCTTGCCTGCTCTGACACACAAGCTAGGAAAGCTATGAAAGTTCAGAGGTCACTCCCTCTGAACAAGGCACTGACTCTACCCTTACTGAATTTTACTAATCACCTGTGATTAATGTGGACATCTTTCTGTTTCATAAATAAGAAAGCTGAAGCTGAGAGGATTTTAAATTTTCTTATGTCACACACCTGGATAGTGGCAGGTCATCTACTCAAAAGGTGTTTCTGTTTAAAAAAAAAAAAATTCCACTTGTATTTAACTGTGAGAGGTGTTCATAAACCATAGCTTTGCACACAAGTGTAGACCCACAATCCAGATACAAAGAGAGGATGTGTGATAGGAACACCGGAAGAATCATTCTGTCTCTGCTCCAGTCAGAGACCCAGAAGCGCTGGGTGTTTCAGCTCTCTCCAGCCAGTGGTGGTGACTCCTCAGGTAAACTGGAAAGTCCTGAATTCCATAGGTGGCTCAGACAATCTGCTTACTTGAGTGAGAGTGAGGCACAGTGGCCATTTGCCGAGGCGTGCCACCCTCACTCCAGGAAGGGGCAACTTTTCCTTGTGTCAGCTGCTTCCTGGGTATCTGGATATGAAAGAACCACAGGATCCTCGGATCTCAGGTAGGGGCGCTGCCTCTTTAGTTTCTATTAGAGGTCATTGCGATGAAAAGGCCAAGAGCTTTGAAGTCAGATGGATCTTTTTCCGTGTTCTAGTTCGACTATTTTCTAGCTGTGTGAGCTTGGTCAGGTTCCTCATCTTCTTTGACTCTGTTTTCTGATGTGGAAAATGTGGCTCTTAGAAAGATTTTAAAGTAACACATAAAAATCCCAATAACATTATAATGACTACTATTCGTGTTATTATCTGAGAGATGGAGGGAGTCACTTATCTCAAACCCTCAATTTTCACATGCAGAAATTAAGGCTCATAGAAATTGTGTGCCTTCTCTATTTTTTTTTTTTTTTGAGACTTTTGCTCTGTCGCCCAGGCTGGAGTGCAGTGGTGCAATCTCTGCTCACTGCAACCTCCACCTCCTGGGTTCAAGTGATTCTCCTGCCTCAGCCTCCTGAGTAGCTGGGACTACAAGCATGCACCACCACGCCCAGCTTTTTTTTTTTTATTTTTAGTAGAGACGGGATTTCACCATGTTGGCCAGGATGGTCTTGATATCTTGACATAGTGGTCTGCCTGCCTTGGCCTCCCAAAGTACTGGGATTATGGACATGAGCCACCACGCCTTGTCAATTGTGTGCATTTTTTAAAGTCACGGGTAAGACTCAGAAGGGCTGGGACTTAGGAAAACAAAGTGTTTTTATGTTTCTTTTTGTAAAATCTTGCAATCATGTACTGGGATCTCAAACTTCTACCATGGCCCTTGCTAAGAATGTCTTTTTTCCAGCACATCTGGCCCCCTTTGGTCTTCTCCTCTCTGGGCCCCACCGATCTCCCTGCTCTATTTTCTCACCACCTTCTCCATCTCTCATGCCCACCCCATTGCTTGGTCCAGGGAGGTTCCTCTAAATTTTTAAGGATGGTGGAGGCAGAGAGTCATGTTCCTTATCACAATGTTTCTGCCACATTTTGCCTTGCCTGAAGGCCTCTTAGGCTTTTGGAAAGCAAAGTCGAGTCCTTTTCTGGTGGCCCTGTTACATCCCTTCTAGATGTAACTGAGTATCAAGTGGAGGAGCTGCTTCATTAGTTTCTGTAGCACCACAGAAGCAAAGTAATCAATATTGATAACAGCTGCTATCTAGTGAGTGCTCACTGTGAGAATGCACTGCAGCTGCTCTGTACATGATCTAACTTTAACTATCACATTCACCAGGTGAGATGAGGTTTTCTAACCTTGCCTTACTAGGGAGGAAGCTGAGGCTCAGAGAGACTAAATGACTGGTCCTAAATTGCGAAGCTAGTATGCAGAAGTGAGACCCAAACTAAGAGTACCAAAGTCTAGCTCTTTCTTTTCCTTTTTTCTTTTTGTTTTCAAGACAGGGTCCCACTTGGTTACCCAGGCTGGTGTGCAGTGGCACAATCTCGGCTCACTGCAACCTCCATTTCCGAGGCTTGAGCAAACCTCGTACCTCAGCTTCCCAAGTAGCTGGGACTACAGGTGCATGCCATTAGGCCCGGCTAGAAAGTCTAGCTCTTTCTGCTGCACCAAAATAGTTTTCTGATTGATGAGAGGGAGGAATTTATGAAATGGAGACAACTTGAGGCTAATGCAAACCCTTTAGGCGTCTCTTTTTTAATTGGTTAAATCAAAATGAGTCTGAGCATGTGCAGGAAGCCTGTGTGCTTAGGAGACTGACATCGGGTCAATTCACTGAATGAACAGAACCTCATCTAGTCACATTTCCATAACATATGAGGAGCTTGGGAAGCATAGGTGTGGATGTACTGGTTGTAGTGAACTTGAAAAGCTCCAGTCTTTGTATTTAGAAAGCCACTAGAATAAAATATCTGGGGCATTCTCTATGAGGAGATTAAAAGAGAGTATCAAAGATGCTTCCAGATTTTGGTATTCCTCAGTTCTAAATCCTACAGACATGTATGATTACATTCCACTTTAATTAGAAGAATATTGATGTCTATTGACTACCTATAGCAATGTGGAGAACTTGAGGTAGGGTGAAGTGGGAGGGAGGAGAGCGGTGCTCACATCAAACGTTGAGTTGGAGTAAAGGAGCTTCATCTCTCTTGTCCAGGAAGAAGAGGTGTGAGTTTATGTGCAACCCAAAAGACCCAGGTCTGAACAAATGGAAACAATCACAATGGGAAGGTTTGTTAGAACTATGGGCAACCTTTGTGGGGTACAGGATTGAGAACAACTCATGGATCTTTATTTTAATTTTTTAGCACATATAAGAATCATCATTCCCCTTCTTTTCTGGAAGTTAGAGATGTAGCCAAGAAATAAGAGCCCTGACATTCTTGGGAGCAAGAGGTGAGGAGGATGCCCTATTCTGAACAGTAGTAATGGCAGATGGTGGGTGGGCTAGAACGATGTCCTCTTGCTGTAGAAACACTGCATTTCCAAGACCCCACTGGGCCTCCCAGTATAAATCGTGTTTCCAGGATGCTCAGGGGACCCATCTTCAAGATTAACCTCTTACTGAAGCTCCAGGCAGATTCCTATAGAATTACCAAGGAGATTCCTATAGAACATCTAAACTGTCCAACAAAAGATTTTAAGGTATGGTGAAAAAGAGTGATGGTGGCCAGAGAATGGTGCTGCAGAGAAGGTATAATACCTACACTCCTTTCAAGGGAGGCAAACTAAAATACTATGAGGTGAAAACCAACTGATGCAGGAACAAGCAGATCAACTCCAGCTTTCATTAGAAGCAGAGCCAACTTGAAATCTGCATCATATATGGCTTTAATTTTAAGCTAAGTTCTGTTTTCTTCTGCTTTTCCATAATGGTAAGTCCACATCTAAGTCTCAGTACACCCCTTGCTAGCCATAAGACAACCATTGGAGCACAGGAAACCCATTCATAAGTTGGTTGACTTGGTGTAGTGACAGACAAAGAAGGGGTGTTAATAACCCCTAAGTGATAGCCCCCAAAGAATAATGCTACTTCCCCCCTCAATAAAGGCCTCCAACCATGACCACGCTCTAATCTCTGGAACCTGGAAATATGTTATCTTACTTGGCAAAATACACTTTGTAGGTGTGTTTATAGTTAAGGACCTGAATAGGTGAAGATTATCCTGTTATCCAGGTAATCCCAGGCTAATCACCAAATCCTTAAAAGTAAAGAATATTTCAGGTTTCAGAGAACCAGAGGGACAGCAGCATGAGAAAGACTCAACCTACCATTGCTGGGTTTGAAGATGGAGCCATGGATTACAGGCAGCCTTTAGAAGCTGAAAAAGGCAAGGGCACATCTACAAAGGTGTATTAGTCCATTATCATGCTGCTGATAAAGACATACCTGAGACTGGGTAATTTATGAAGAAAAGAGGTTGGCTCACAGTTCTGCATGGCTGGGGAGGTCTCACGTAACTTACAATTATGGACAAAGGCATCTTTCACAGGGTGGCAGGAGAGAATGAGTGCCCAGCCAAGGGATAAGCCCCTACAAAGTCATCAGATCTTGTGAGAACTAACTCACTATCATGAGGACAGGATGGGGGAACCCACGGCCCACCCCCACCCTGGGGGGGAATATGGGAACTACAATTCAAGATGAGATTTGGGTGGGGACACAGTCAAACCATATCAAAAGGAATGTATTATTGCTAAGATATTGACTTCATCCCACTGAGATGCATGTCAGAATTCTAAGCCACAACTGTAAGATAATAAATTTTTATTCTTTAAGCTGCCGAGTTGGTAGTAATTTGTTGCTGCAGCATTGAAAACAAAAATAGCGTGAGAACATAAACTGTCTGATTTGTCTTTCTATTCTAATCTTTCTATTCCTGATTCTTTGCAGAGTGATGAGTATATGAACGAGCTCAGTAATTCTTTTATGAATGAAAAAAATGAAGGGAGGAAAAACAAAAAAAGCATTTGAGTGTTTGGCCAAGCATAGCTGTTATCAGATTCAATGGCACTCATTTGTTCAAACAATATTTCTTGAGGCTTCCTGAGCCCAGCATGATGCCAAATACTAATGAGGACATATGAAGGGGCACAAGCAAAGGGTGCTCCCTTAAAGAGCTTCTGATCTAACACATCTATGAATCAGAACAATCAGGTCGTAACCTGTGAGTGCCACAGACCTCAGAGGAGAAAGAGATTCCCGAGGACTGGGATGGTCTGCAAGGTCCTTTTTGGAGAATTGAGGCTTCAACTGGGTCTTAAAGAATAATCAGGGTGATGATAATGTAAGGGCATTGCAAGCAGGAGAACATAATAGACCTAGAGGATAAGAAAAGGACTATGAGGAAGGCATGGTAACTTGGGTGGAGCTAAAATGTAGAATGGGAATAAAGTAAGCCATAAATGTGGGGTAAATTCAGTTGTTTACTCAGCTACCAAGCCCTGACTACTAGTGCTAGGCATAAATTGGGGTTTGGGGAAATAAATGACATTATCCCCACCCTCAAGGAACTAAGAACCTAGTGGGAACATAAATGCCTAGAAATTGCTCAATATTTGATACTTGTTAGTAGATGTTTAATAAATATTTGTTCAATTAAACACAGTTGAAATGCATGGTCAACAGTATTAGTCACAGGTGAGGACATAGATCATTTTTTCAGCGGTTATGTTATTTATTGCTATGTAATATATTATCCCAAAATTTAGCAAGTTAAAGCAAGGAACATTTATTATCTGACATTTTCAGTTGGGGAGGAATCTGAGCATGGCTTAGCTTGATGCCGTTGGGTCGGGGTCTTTCACGAGGCTGCAATTAGGGAGTCATCTAGGGCTGTGATTATCTCAAGGCTCGATGGGGAGAGGGAAATCTGCTTCTAAGGTCATTCATGCAGTGGTTGGCAGGATTCAATTTCCCATGGGCTGTTGGATGAGGGCCTCCATTCCTTGCTGGTTATGGGCTGGAGGTTGTCCTCAGTTCCCTTCCATGTAATCTTCTCTAGAGGGCAGTTGACAACATGGTAGCTGGATTTTCTCAAAGAGCCTGAGATAAAGTAACAGAAAGCCAGAGAGAGCCAGAGAGAAAGAGCAATACAGGAATCATTGTATTTTGTATCGTAATCTTGGAAGTGATTCTCCTTCACTTTTGCTGTATTCTATTTGTTAGGAGTGAGTCACCAGCTCCAGCCTCCATTCAGGGGAAGTATTGCACAAAGGTGTGAGTACGAGGAGAAAGCAGAGGCTGTCCATCACAGTTGGGCAGCCTGATGTACCCTCTTTTCCTCTGTACTGTAGAAGCGAGGCTTTCTCTGAAGGTATCAGGCAAAGAAAGTAGAGAAGAGCCCATCCTCATTCATCTGGAAACTACTAGCTCTACCACAGCCAACATAGTTCGCATCATGGTTCCTGCAGGACATTTAGGGAGGTACTAACCAGAGACCATTTTTTCATGGCTTAACAAAAAATCTAGATTGGGAAAAACCTCAGAACATCTCAGACTAGGGGCTTCTCAGGAACCAGTAATCAAGGCCAAGGGTTGAAGGAGAGGTAGGGATCCTGGGCTATTGATATTATATAGAAAATAATATTGGCTAAAAATAGAAAAGCTGGTTTTGAATTCACATAGTAGGTATGATGTTAAACACATTACTTAAACTCTCTGAGCCTGTTTCCTCATAAATTAAATGGGCATCTACCTGTAGTATAGTCATTCAGGAGATTTTGAATATACTTCCCATGTCTGAGGAACCTCCATCATTCCTAATTCCCTGAGAAAATCATTATTCCAGCTTCTCTTACAGCTCTGGTATAGGCATGTGATAAAGGTTCTGTCAAATCAAATGGCTGGGGAGAGGTACTGATTTAAACTGTATTTATGAGAAAAAGGACAGGAGGAGCAATGAATTTTCTAGAGATTGTAGTGGCAGAGGCTTTGATTCTTGAGGCCACCTTATTCTGGTCCAACTCAGTGTACACAGTATAGGCCATGGCATAATATGGTGTTTGATGCCTGTGCCCAGGGGAGGCTGCAATGAGGTGCCTATTGGAGCACTCCTGCAGTGTGGCTTGGGTGTCATTCCCATCTGCAAAGCTCTAATTTGACCTTCTGGGATGCCTGGAGATTCAGATCTACATTTGTGAGATTTATATATATCTCATAAATTACATTTTACTTCTGCTTAAACTACTTAGGATGTGTACTGTTTTAGCAATTGAGACTATTGACTGATCCACTGCCTCTCAGGGTATTATGGGGATAAATGAGATAATGCATGTAAAGCACCTGGCACAGTGCCTTTTATATAGGTGGCACTAAGGAAATGGTAGCTCTTAATGTTTATTTTACTACTATTCCTTCTTGTCAATGTTTCTTGGGTACCTCATGAGTGAAAGTCAAATCTCAGCTGCATGCGGATAGACCAAGGATTTAAATTCTGATGACATGGTTTGGGTCTGTGTCTCTGCCAAAATCTCAAGTCAAATTGTAATGCTCAATGTTGGAGGTGGTATCTGGTGTGGAGTGACTGGATCATGGGTATGGATTTCCCCTTTGGTGCTGTTCTTGTGATAGAGTTCTCATGAGATTTGGTTGTTTAAAAGTATGTGGCACCTCTCCTCTCCTCTCTTTCTTCTGCTCTGGCCATGTAAGACGTGCCTGCTTTCCCTTTACCTTCTGCCATGATTGTAAGATTCCTGAGGCCTCCCCAGCCATGCTTCCTATACAGCCTGTGGAACCATGAGCCAATTGAACCTCTTTTCTTTATAAATTGCTCAGTCTTAGGTATGTATTTCTCTCTCTTTCTCTTTTTTTTTTTTCTCTCTCTCTCTCTTTCTCTCTTTCTCTCCAGAAGGAGTTCCACTCTTGTTTCCCAGGCTGGAGTGCAATGGTGCCATCTCAGCTCACCGCAACCTCTGCCTCCTGGGTTCAAGCGATTCTCCTGCCTCAGCCTCCCGAGTAGCTGGGATTATAGGCATGCGCCACCATGCCTGGCTAATTTTGTATTTTTAGTAGAGACAGGGTTTCTCCATGTTGGTCAGGCTGGTCTCAAACTCCCGACTTCAGGTGATCCACCCACCTCAGCTTCCCAAAGTGCTGGGATTACAGGCATGAGCCACCGTTCCCGGCCCTCAGGTATTTCTTTATAGCAGTGTGAGAACAGACTAATATGCCTGGGTAGTTTTGCCCCACAGGGGGTGTTGGGTAATGTCTGGAGACAGTTTTGATTGTCACAACTAGGGGTGTGGTGTAACTGGCATCTAGAGTCTAGGGATGCTCCTAAACAGCCTACAATGCACAGGACAGGCCCCATAGCAAAGAACTATACAGTCCATTATCTAGTCAACAATGCCAAGGTTGAGAAACCCTGTTGTAGATGTGGGTGCAAAATGAAACCTGGCCACCACTCTCTACTCTGTCAATAAAAACCTGCTAGGTTTTGCTCAACCAGGATGAGTTCCAGCATGTGGAACCTCCAGATGCAGGAACACCAGAGTGCAAATTTAATCACGCAATTTTATGTCCCTAGAAAGCACTACCAAGGTTGTGAGATCAGGGCATGGAATGATCTAAGTTTTCATAAATGTATTCCCAAGGTCCTTGATTAAGCAATTAAAAGATGAATTAAGGACTATGCCAATTTCTGATTGGTTGGCCAGTACAGCTGGGAAGTTTCTTTGTTTGGTTTTGATGATGCTGTTTTAATTTCTGATTTTTTCTGTGCCAGGGAATCTTGGTATTTCCTTTGCAGACTGTAAATCTCTATTATGCCCACATACGGCAATATAGAGTCTCTCTGCAGTTATGCATTTTTATTGGTACACAGAATATTGAAACACAAAACATCAAACAGGCTATTTCTTTTAACCACAGATGTGAGTTGAATTCATTACCAATATTGTTCTTCGACTTCCTAATGACTTTGGCTCATTGCAAATGGAAAATGTGTCCAAGAGAAGGAGACAGTTTTAATGTAGTGCCACTGGTCAGCTTGTGACCCTCATTTTCTTTCTTTTCCTGAGCCTCATCTTTTCTTTCTATAAACTGAAAGTATGCATTAGATGACCTCTAAGTCTTCCAAATTTCTGAGATTCTCAGGGGCTGCCAAATTCCCAGGGATTTCAGAGCCCTCCCCAGAGGAAGGTGGCCTCATGAGTTTGTTGGGGCATGGCACAAATCCAGCCCCAACTTCAGGGTCATGGGCAGGAGTCAAGGTCACCTCTTCCTTGTAATGTTCTCCTATGAAGGCCTTGTAGGATATGCTGGCTGTTCATTAATTCAAGTGCTCAGTTGTGATGAGGATCTCCTGGGAAATACAAGTACAACAATATTTTTCATTTTCATTGTTGAAAAGTATTCAATTTTGTAAAACATGACTAATTTATCCTATCTATTGTTGATGTCATTTTGATTTTTCAGTTTTATGTTACTATGCTGTTAGAACATTCTTGTAAAAGTACTTGGAAAATGTGTACAATTTTTGAGTGTATACCTAGGGATAATAGGATATGCATAAATATAACTTTGATTTTGCTAAAAATGGTTGATTGATTTTATACTCCCTCTAGCAATATATTAGAATTGTCTATCTTTTTAATTTTCATCATTGTAGTGAGTATGCAGTGGTATCCTACTGGAGTTTTAATTTGCATTTCCCTGATGACTGGTAATGTTGAGTATCATTTTTATATACTTGACCATTTGAATATCCTTTATAATGAAGTGTCTAGTTAAATACTTTACAATTTAAAAATAATTGGCTTGTTTGCCTTTGTCATACTGATTTATAACAGAACTTCTTCATACATTCTGAATATGAGTTCTTGGTCAATTATATGTATTTCAAACATTTTGTACTCTTTGACTAGGTGTCTTTAATACGTGAAAGTTTATTAATTTTAAAGAAGTCCAACGTATCCATTTTTACCATTTAGGTTATTGATTTTTGTATCCTTTTAAGGGAATCTTTGCCTAAACCATCTTCATAAAGGTATCATCCTGTGTTGTGTTTTAAAGCTTTATTGTTTTATTCTTTAAATGTCAACCCACAATCACCTGTAATTGAATTTTGGGCCTGGTGTGTAATAAAGGTCAAAGTTTACTTTTTTCTATGTGGAAAAGAGTACCATTTATTTAAAAATGCCCCATTTTAATTGGTCTTCAGTGTTGCCTTTGTAGTAACCAAAAGTCCATAAAGGTGTTGGTCTATTTCTGGTCATTCTATTCTGTTGTATTCCTTTATACTAATACTAATACTAATGTCCAATAATAACAGAAACATTATTGCTGTCAAATTACTTGGGAGAAAAAGCCACTTCTGCAGAACTGAATTGTTTATTCCCCTCCAGTGGGATCACATTCTGTTGGAAAAAAGTCTGAATTAGTGGTTATGAGAATAGGGTCTAGTTCAGATTCTGCTCCTCATCTGCTATATGATCTGAAGCAAACCAGTTTCCCTCTTTTGGCATTAGTTCCTCATCTGTAAAAGCCAGGAGATGCTGTTAATAAACTCTCAGAACAGGTTAGTTGAGAACCCACACACATCAAAGACATGGCAAAGACACAGAAAGGAGGCCCTAGGAACTAAAATATCTGGACATTTTTTGAAAACGTTTTCCCAACAACATGTTTAATTTCAGTGTTTTCAGTTTAGTTGAAAACAGATGACCTTCTCAGCATAGTTTGCCATATGTTAATCAAATTGTTAGCTTCCAAAAAGTGAGCTATGTTTATTCTCATGTTGAAGTGAATGTCCTTGAGCTGCTATCAAGTGATCAATGGTGTGAGCTCCTACTCTCTCTCCTGTGGCTCTGACCTATCACATCTCTCCAGGTTGCCAACTCTGTAACATGCTATTTTCTGATAGAGCTTCTCTGTACAGCATGTGTTCCCATGTCTCACCCTTTTTGCTCTGTTGTTGCCTGGGATCCAGTGTTTCAACAGAGTTCTTTTGTGGCACAAGAGCACGTGCATTCTAGGCTAGCATGGCATGAGAGCATGATCCTCCATAGCTGAATTTTAGGGAGCAGAATTCCAAAGGCTCTAGTACATGATAACTTGTAAAGGAAAGTTAAGAAGGCTGGTGCCTGCAGCCTTTGTTAAATGAAAAATTGAGAACCAGGAAGTCCAATTGGAGTGGATGAGTGCTTCTAATAGAGTGCTTCTGAGAATACATGGTAGGAAACCTTTGTGTGGTTCCTGGGCATAAAGACCCATGGAAAGAAGGTCGTGGAAAAGAGATACTGGAAGCTCTGACTTCCTCCATGTACATACTGGACCTTTCTCCTTCACCCATAGGTAGATACTGCTCCTTTAGGTCTAATGCCTGTACCATAGCTTCCCCTCCCTTACAAGACCTGCGTGACTTCACAATCCATGTGAGTAATGTGATCTGTACCTGGGCCTTACATTCCTTCACTTCCTCACTTGGTGGCCTCACCTTTCTCTTTTATTTTAGCACCCACTCTTCAGCATCACTTGGAACCACTTCGTGTCAGAGATCTGGTCAGGGTCTCATCCGCTCAAGAAACGAATGCTTTGTTTCACAACTCCTGTTCTTCTGTTTCCCAGAGACCTCTAGTTCCTTGATCTGTCTGCTTCCTGCCAGTTAATCAGCTCCCCTTTTCTTACTTTTCTTATCTACCCAGCCTGTCCTGAGTAGTTGAACACTTGAATAACTCTAATACTAGGATCCACAATTTGTAGGTGTCTTAGGATTCTACTGCCCCTCTAAAGAAGCTCCTTGCTCACTGTGGACTTGCTGTTTGTTTTCATCAAGTGAGACACTATGGTAACCCTCAATTTTTTATTCCTCATCCATAAACATTTTATCCAGGTTGCCATCTATCTTTACTGTCTTTCATTCAGCCTAAAGGGCTCTACTTTGTCAGTTTAGGCATCTCTTAAGAAAAAGAAAAAAAAGAGGCTGGGCGCAGGGGCTCACGCCTGTGATCCCAGCACTTTGGAAGGCCGAGGCGGGTGGATCACGAGATCAGGAGATCGAGACCATCCTGGCTAACACGGTGAAACCCCGTCTCTACTAAAAATAAAAAAAAATAATAAAAAAATGAGCTGGGTGTGGTGGCAGGCACCTGTAGTCCCAGCTACTCGGGAGGCTGAGGCAGGAGAATCACTTGAACCTGGGAGGCAGAGCTTGCAGTGAGCCGAGATTGAGCCACTGCATTCCAGCCTGGGCGACAGAGCAAGACTCTGTCTCCAAAAAAAAAAAAAAAAAAAAAAAAGAGAAAAAAAGAAGGAAAGAGTGAGGGAAGGAAGGAAAGAAGGAAGCAAGGAAGGAAACATTATTGATTGCAAATTCTTCTGTAGCTACCACTTCGTTCTTCTCATTTAAATTCATTCAAATCTAAATTGTGCTTAGTCACTGTGCTCAGTGCTGGGAATTCAGAGTTGAATAAAATATGGTACTTTTCCTTAAGTAGCTTATAGTTTCAGTAGAGTAACATGGAGGTAGAGATAAGCATTGCAATGAGATCAAGGCAAGAGAGCACCAGAGAAGAATGCAGGTTTTGACTCAACCATGGGACAGCTGGAGTGAAGAGCAATGTAGTGCTGTCAGAGCATCAGTGCAGTGCAGGGAAGGTTAGGGAGCAGAATTCCGAAGACTGTAGTAGGTGGTAACAACTTGTAAATGATAGTAAGGGAGGCTGGTGCCTGCAGCTTCTGTCAAAGAATTGAGAACTGGGGAATCCAATTATAATGGATGAGTACTTCTGAAAATGCAGGGTAGGAAACTTTTGTGTGGTTCCTGGGTATAAGGACACAGGGAAAGAGGGCTGTGGAAAAGAAATACTGGAAGCTCTGACTTCCTCCTTGTACTTGAAGACCTTTTCTCCAGGCTGATGAGTTAGGCTGGTCATGGCAGACCAAGAAAGGCTTTGCAAGCCAAGCAAGCCTATTCCGATTTTATGTCGCTCCCTGAAAGACAGGGAGGTGAGTAATCATTTACAAATAACTTCTGTAGACAGAGAAGAATATTGCATCCATCAGAGAATTTCTGTTCTCCCTCTTGCTATAACTTTTCTAAGAGCCTACTTGGGTTTCTGCATTGGCTCCATAGCTGGGGAGGGAGGGCTGTGTATATGCATGGAAATGGCACAAAGAAAGGTGAGGATGGAGCATCGAGGTGATGGCCTGGTCTTAGACACTGGCAACCAGAGCTGCAGCATCCCATTCAGCCTCTGACTGGAGACAGACATGGTGCTGAAGGTTGGTTTGCCAAGGTCAAAAGGACACACTCTAGGAAACTGTCCAGGGTGGGCTGCATGAAGCTGGTCATGATCTCTATTAGTTTTGAGCAAAAATGCTTCCTTTTCTACCTTCCTCTCCTCTCTCCTCCTTTCTTCTTTTCTTACCTCCTTTCTCTCCATTCCTCTGTAAAGGCTGATCAGAGGGAGTGGCTGAGCTGAGTAGGGGCAGTCAGTCAAGGAGGGAGGCTGGGAGCCTTGTGTTCTGTCCAGTGACCCTCCCTGGATCCTAAATGAGGATGGCCTGGCAGCTCTGTGAACCAAAGCTTTGCCAAACGAATGGGGCTTTGGGTGAATTTTAAAATATAGCTTTTCTGGGCTTAAGGTGGGCAGCTTATGGTCTTGATTTCAGCCCCCTCATCCCTTGGTCAGGCACGCTCGTGCAGGGCACAATCTGAGTGACTGCAGCAGCTCTGTCCCTGTGGGCTTTATTTCCAATTGAGAAACCCCTATCACAGTGAACAGCTGGGAAAGCCCTCCCTGTACCCAAGTCTCATCACTTTATCATAGCTGGAGTGCTGACTTCCGGCCAGGCTCTGTGCATTTGTAGCCACGATCTGACCCACACGACAAAGGGCTAAGAATTTGGCTACATTGGTGCATTGTTTGTTTAAGGCAGAAGTGATGACTGACATTTTTTTCTCTGCTTAGAGGGCTTTATAAAATTCCATTTGTTATTATCTCATAGGATGGGAGTTGGTGGGGAAAAAGGAAATTACTTGTCAGCCTGTATAGGAAAAATTTCTACAGATGATTGTGAGGGGTCAGTCCTTTCGGAAGAAAGTTCAAAGTAAGGCTGCTAATGCTTAAGGTTATAGTCTAAGTCTGTTTCAGTTTAAAATGTCCAATAAATTAGAGATAATTTTATGGTGATTCCTAAGACCTGACAACCTAAACATTTTCCTTTGTAGCATAACCAAAAGTAAACTGTCTTCTTAGGTAAGAAAAAGCAATTGAACCTGTAAGGATTAGGTCCTGCCCTTCAGACTGAGCTTTAAAAGGAAGTAATCCAGCAAGAGATCAATGAAGGAGGAGCTCCGGCTGAGGTCAGGATTGTGATGAGAGGATTAAGTCAAGCATCCATCTGTACATGTGGCCGTGGGGGGCTCAAATGGACCCCTAATGGCTTCACTTGGGGAATCAGCAGCCTAAAATATGAGGAGCACAGCAGCCACCAAATCACAGCTCAGGGGGTCATAAATATCCCCCCCATCTTCTACACAGTGAGGAAGAACTGCTCAGACCACAAGGATGGTCTTCAACACAGGGTCCAGGATGAGAGAATAAAAAGATGGGCAATAGGCATCACTTCTGTGTTTTCCCTTTTTGGATGTGGTGTCCAGTTGTTTTTTCGCCTTTATAAAACATTTTAAAAATGGCTTTAAGTGTCTAGTGTTGAGATTGCTTAATTCTTCTAAGCCACGATGACAGGCTGGAGGATTTGGACAAGCTGGCTCTTATATCCTCAAGCCAAAAGTAAAACCATTTTGCTATCTAAATGGAGGGGCACACCAAAACCACTTTTTATCTTGTGCTCCCTAATGACTAGAAATATGTAAGTTCCCCATGCAAAAGAAAGCACATCTCAATATGATGCCCTTGATTAATAGTGATGGTGGTGATAATATGGCTTGGGGCAAATATGAAAAATAGTGCCTGTTGAGCTTTAGATTTATGAAGTAGTGAGATCCCTTATTTAAGCCTTTTGAAACTCAACAGACACTCTGCTGTACGTAAGGGCTATGTCATAGATCTCTGTCTAAGGAGCATACATGGGGATCACTTATCTGAGCCTGGGAATGCCTGAAAAGGCTGATTCTCACCACTCCGAGAAACATTCAAAGACTTTTGGAGTCATGTTTCTTGTTGTGATAAAATGCTTTACTGCCATCATACACTTTTCTGCAGTGGCCATATTCTAGCTGTTTGTTAGAAGGAGGAGGTCATTTATGACACTGAGATCGTCTGAGTTTGTGCAGCACATGACGGGCCTGCACATAGTAGGCAGTCAATATCTTTTTATTTGTTAATGTTGGTTTTTTTTTTCAGTGGAAGAAAAATTGTTTTGAAATTGAGGCATGCATGAGAATTTCTGGTGTAATCTATCTGAAAATTTTTATGGTAGGTTGAAACTAGTTTTGTTCACTAAAGACTTCTAAAAAATTATAGTAATGAGGTAGACATAAGCATACATTACATTTGTATACCTTGTTGCTCTATAACTTATACACATATTATTTACTTTTTATAACCATCCTAAAAATAGCTTTTATTAACTCCATTTTATAAATGAGGAAATTAGGGAGATGGTGGGGTAAATCTAAGCAATAGAATCAGGACCAATTTTCTTTTTTTAAACTTTTTATCTTATTCTCTTTTGGCATCACTGCTGCTAGAAGATCTTGGCTCTAGTTTGGGAGGAGCCATTCTTTAGCTGAGTGGCTGGAAGCAAATCACTGCCTCTTTGGTCTTGGTTTTCTAATCTCTGGAATCTGGTCTTCAGTACCTGCCTGAACAATCTGAGACCCACAGAAGGAGGCAAAGAAGATTGGAAGTAGAAAAGGCATTAGGAATTGTGTAGTCTCCTTTCCTTGCCAGGAAGTTACAAAACATAAAGCCTTCCCATGACCAATTCTCTTCTACCTGCTGCCTGCTGTTTCTCTAAAAAAGTTATCCCTAGTCCTTTTGTGCTTTCAACAATCCCTGACTGACCTTGACCCTTTAGAGAAATAGAATAGAACTTGGACTCTCCATTTGGAATTTTTGATAACTATGTTAGAATGTGTCTTCTTTTCCCTATGGACTTATTTCTGTATTTTGGATCTACCTCTGAACTAATTCCCCTGCTATATGGCGTCATTCTTCAGCCAAGTCCTTGGCCTTTATCCAGTCCCAAGTGTCTCCCTGGATATTTGACTCTAGACTTAACCAGTATGACCTGTTCTTTTGTTACTATTATCTCACTATTCTGGTCCTGATAGACACCTGGTTTAGCTAGCCAATTTTTGCCAGCCCAGCCATTGATATTTGCAAACTTTAGACTTTCTATTTAGTTGATGAGGTTAAAGAGATATATCTCTCTTCAAAACTGCGTGCGTGCCTGTGTGTGTGTGTGTGTGTGTGTGTGTGTGTGTGTGTGTGTGTTTAATCTGAGGAAAACCCAGGAATCTCTAGCATAGTTGTTGGTTATGTTCTTTTTCAAGAGCTCAGCCTGCCTATCATCTGCAGTGGTCCTAGCATTCAGTTGGAACATGTGGAACAAATGCCTTCTCTTCCCAGACTCAAGGACAAGGGAGGTCACACAGATGTTCAACAGATGTCAAGGGAGGTCCAGTGAAGTGACTGTGAAGTTGATTTGTAAACATTCCAGTAAGAATGGTTTCCTTTCTCAATAGCTATTTTGGAAAGGGTTTTCATGAAACAAGAATGTGACTATTAAATGTCATCTCACTTCACAAAACAATTTCTAGTCCACCAGCCAAACTGCTTGCAGCAAACAAGTTGACTAGGTGGCCCCATGAAAGGGTCCGGGTTTGAGTCTAGCCATTGCTATTTTTCCTTGTGTAGAAATCCAAAGGAAGCTCTGTTACTTGCAATAAACTTGTGATTTGTCTTGGAGAAAAAAGTGAAGTATCTTCAGTTGATATACTCTCAAGAAATGTTAACAGCGTGTACATGCAGCAATGTGAACTGGAGATATGTGGACATCCTCACTGACCTTAGAGGTCTTCGTATTTGCAAGAATCCAAGAATCTTCCAACTGTTGCAGGGGGCGGACCCAGAGAATTAGATGTTATCCGGGCTGTTTATCCTGCCTAGACAGGAATGTGCTGGGACTATAGAAACATGTATTCTAGCATTGATCTTGTGAGAGTGGGGAAGTCCTTAATCTTTTTGGGACCTCACTTTCCTCATCTGTAAAATGGCAGGTGAGGAAGCTGGCACAGGAGGTATCTGTGCCTTCTCCATGCTCTAAACTTTTACAATTCTGTGTGTTCCCTACTTTCCTTTTTCTGAAAGTATAAATCTGTATGCAGAGATGAATTTTGTGTCCCCTTACCTCTGTCTGACAAGTGGGCTGGACATTCTCTCCCTTTCTGGGCACCCATTAAATAAACAGATGGTTGGCCTAGTCCACCTGGCATCAGATATTTTCAGATACAAAAATATAGCCTCTCTGGGTTTTAAAAAGGGAGCTATTAAGACCAGCCGTGCAGCTTGAGAAGGACTCAGTGAGGATGCTACAGGTCATACTATAACTAGATTTGCTGAACATTTAAATTAAATGATTTTACTAACTACAGATGTCTGACATTTTGCCTCTAGGTGAACTTTATGACACTGAGTTGAGTTCCAGTGGTCCTTTCTCTTCCCTAAGGAATTATTATTTGTCCTTCAGCCAAGAGGGGCTGTTGACATTCATTTTATCATGTCTTCTGTCTGCTTAGGTTGCCCCCTCCTTGTCTCCAGTGATCTCTCAGAATGAATCAGCTCTCACCTCAGGCAGGGTTTCTGCCCCTGCTGAGCATGTAAAGCGTGGACTTGCAGACTCCCCTGGCAGATTTCAAGGGCATTGCACCTGGTCCTCATAAGCTCCCAGTGTCTCCCTCCCCTCCGGCCTGTTTTGCTCTTTTTCTTATTCTCTGCACACTGGGTGCACCTTCTCATCACCACTGCTTCTGCAGAGCCTCCTCCAAGCTCTCAAACTCTATATCTCTCACTGCTTACAACCACACAGAGTTTGCAAGATTTCAAACACTTTTCCTCTGGTGTAGACATTATCATTGTGGATTTCTGCACAATGAGATAGTTTTCCCATTTGGAAAAGAAAAAGCTGATCTCAGAAAGATAAGCACCCTCGGGGTGCACTACTGGTGCTTTTCTCTTGGCATACCCTGGTAACAAGATTAAAGTGCATTGCTATAGACTGAATGTTTTTGCCCTCCTCCCAAATTATGTGTTGAAATCTAATCCCCAATATGATAGTATTAGGAGATGGGACCTTTGGGAGGTGATTGGGTCATGAGGACAAAACTTTCGTGAATGGGATTAGCGCCTTATAAAAGAGGCCCCAGAGAACTCCCTTGTCCCTTTCACCATGTGAGGACACAGCAAGAAGACCCTGTTTGTGAACCAGAAAGTGGGCCCTTGCCAGACAGCAAATCTGCCAGTGTTTTGATCTTGGACTTCCCAGCTTCTGGGACTGTGAGAAACAAAATTCTGTTGTTTTTATGCCACACAGTCTATGGTATTCTGTTACAGTAGCCCAAACAGACTTAGACACACACAAAAAAGTCATTCTTTCAATTAGAGCCACGGCGGGAAACAGAGGGCCCACTTGAAGGAGTATTTCAGAAGTCATTAATAACCAGCGCATTTCTCAGGGAGTGGGCAGTGTTAGAAATAGTAATAAGGCATGGTGAGCCCTGCAGGGCTGACGGCAGGGTGAAGCCACGCAAAAAAAAAAAAAAAAAAAATGGCTAAAGGGGACTGCAGCCTATGAGAGCTGAAGCATGGATGGGGCTACCTGACAGGACCTCTGGCTGTAGGGAGAGCAGCCACATCCAGGCAGTGGCCCAACGGGGAGGGAACAGGGTAATGAAATCCCACCCCTCTCTGCTTCTGCCCCATGACAGCCTGCTGGATGGAGCCTCTTCCTGTGTGGCTGAAACCAACAGGAAGCTGGAAGGCAAAGGGGTCCAGAGATGCATCCCTAGAGATTGCCCTCCTAGGGCACAAAGCAGGATGCAGTGTGTGGAAATGGATCGGGGGATGGAAAAGGAGATAATTTGGTAAATTCACTGCTGTTTTTAAAACTGTGCTTCTCATTTTTTTTACTTTGACATTTGATACTTTGCTGTATCCAAGATTTCTGAAAACTCATAGTAGTAAGTAAGAAATCTAAACAGAGTCCTACTTCTCTTTCCTTTTTTTCTTTTTCTTCCTTTTTTTTTTTTGAGATGGAGTTTCGCTCTTTCCTATTTCAACAAATCTTGCATGGTTTCCTGCAGTATGGCTTATTCAACAGTCTTGTATTTTAAAGAGGGGTTTATTTGAGAAAGGGAAGTCTATAGCTATTTTCAAAGTTTAAAGAAATTTCTACCTGCTAACTGAGAGTATTCTCTATTAACAATGAATTATTATGCTTACTCTAGCGGTTGCTTGGTTTATAAAATGCCTTGAGCTTCCTAGAGAAATGATTCTCCTTGAATGCAAAGTCCTTTGTATGCAATGAAATAATGACACATAGTATCTATAATTTCAGAACATATGCTTATTGTTACAAATATCTATCTTAGACATTTATATTCTAGAATTATCTCTGGCCAAAAAGATATGAAATTATTCATCTAGATAAGTTTCAGGACAGCCATCTAGGTAAAAACAGCCTTGGCTCTGGTATGTCTCTCCTAACCTTTCTCTCTCTCTCTCCTTTCTCCCTCCCTCTCCATGCCTCTACTCTGCTCCTTCTCTCTTCTCCTTTCTGGATAAAAGGTGAACTTTTGATAAAAAAGACATTAGTGTATGAATTCAAGCATCCTAGATAATATGTGTTTTAATATTTTCTTGGATTAGTTTATAAACTTAATTTTATCTGGAGCAAAATTTTTTTTCAAATTGTTGATTTGGAAGGCTTCATACCATTAGATTTCATTTTATTTACAGGCTTGTTTAAATTTAGTTGTTGATTTACTTTTGTTTTACTTTGTTTTCTCTCAGTTGGTCCTTTTCTTTGTAACTATCTTTTCTTATTTGGCAGTCTCATGTTGGCTTCTTTGTGGTCTCCAGTCCTCTGGATTCTAGTGCAAAGCTAGGTCGTAGCATCGCATTCTGAGGATCTTATCTTACTGAAATATTAGGAATATTGCAAATGCAATCCCCAAGCCAGTGGCTATCCACTTTAAGAGAAGCTTCTGAATCTAGGGGAGTGAGTGGCCAAAGGTAATTGACTCATTACCTGAAAATGGGTTGTGCCAATCTAAACTGCTACCAGCCACAGCATTTAAAAGCTGTTTTCAATTTCAAAATTGATAGGACCAAAGGCATTTTAATGAAAATTGTTTTAGTTTAAGAATAAATTGGGGTAATAAGTTGAAATCTTAAATTACTTACATGGTTTAATATAAACTGGAGAAAGCTGCTATTCTATGTCCATTCATTTTTCTTCCCCAAAGACAATTGTCTACAATTGTCATTAACTAAAACATATTGCATTTCTTTTAGATTTTGGGGAGATCTTAAACTATATAGGCTTACCAAAGTCTATACATATAAATTCATTGCTTTACCTTCTAAACCAGAGGAGTTTGATATGGGAGGTCTCTTCCAACTGCAACCTCAGTAGTTTTTATTTCTATAATATATATCCTGAAATTATCTGGAATTTTGAGTTAGTGAAACGGTTTCAAGTTATGATACTAAGAATATATGGCAATATATACAGCTACTGAGTCTCTTCGAGGGAAGTAGTAGATATTTTTATTCTCCAGTTATAAAACATCCCAGCTGCTTGAGCATTGAATGCTATTCTATTTTCAAAACCTTTTATATCTCAACAGTAGAATATATCCCAGTTGTTACTTCTGAATAATGACTGGGTTGGTGGTATTGAGGAGCTATAAACCGCCTTCTCTTTCTCAGCCCCTGATTTAAGAACTTGTCAGACTGAAATACAGTGGGATACTTGGATGAGAGGGGAAGCGGGAGATACGAGTGGAGACTTTAAAGACAGAGTGGCAAAAGGCATGAAATTAGAAATTCTATATTTCATTGACCTACTGCCATACACACATTTTTCAGCTAATTCTTTGTGGTTTTAATCAATAGATTTCATTTTTACTCCCTATCTACTGCCATCCCCTTCACCATCTCACACATGTCTATTTGATTGGTAGTTTCCCTATTCAGGTATAAATGGCAACATGATGTTCCTATTCCTTTGGTTACAATGTAGCTACTGAAATACATCCCATAAATTTCATTTTCCTGTATCTTCTTTTATGTTGTATCCAAAAATCTGTTTGTATCTGCACTCTTTTTATTTGACACGCTGGAGTGTCTTCTCCCTGTGTGTTATCAGATGGTATCTGTCAAGCTCCAAAAGCAATATGCTTTTCTTTTAAAAGTGTTACAAATGCACTTGTGGGAATGTAAAGAAGAGCCCAAGGGTTTCTGAAAGGGTGCTGACATAAACAAACACTGTCAAATGAAACTGCACAGGACCATTTATATCTGCATCTAACCTCCAAACTTGGTGTTTTTTTTCTCCTCATCTTGAACCCAGGCTGTTCCATGGATCCTCTTTCTTCTTGAATTTTCTCTGTGGGGTGATGTCATCTCCAGGGTGATGTCCCAATATCCTGCCCTGGATCACACTGGTCATAGTGGGTGCTGCTACCTTCCCAGCCAGCCAGCCTGCATGGTGCCTCTGTCTTTGTCTCACTGAGCCTGGACTTCATAATGCAGGATAGCTTGGCCTTGTTATCCAGCCCAGACTGGGCAATTCTCCTTTGTTACCAGTTTTCTGTCTACCTTTGATTCTGCCATTCAAAGGAGGTATGGGAGGGTTTGTGCTGAATCTCTTTTATATTTCCTTGGAAGCATCTCTTTTAAAATTATGAGCAGTTCAGATTTCATAATCAAGTAGGCACTTTCACAGATACCCTCTGCTTCATATCCGTGTCATCCATTAATCCACAATTCTATATTTTGTTGAGCTACTGGCATAAAATTATTTTCAACTTTTTTGGTGAAATATTGGCTCTATAATCATTGATAGCCTATTAGCCAGCAGCTGTTCATTATTACCATTTGTGTATTTTTTATTGACTAAACATTTGTATTTTCCAATGCCATTAATTCATTTGGTACCTCTATACTCTTGCCTTCTGGTTTTATTTGTGAATCCAAGATGTTGCATCCAGGACAAGAAGAACACAATTCTCTCTCTCCATAATCTACCACTTCTATGTTACAAGATGCTATTGTTTGAATGCACCCTCCAAAGTCATGTTGAAACTTAATCCTCAATGTGGCTATATTTGGAGATGGGGCCTTTAAGAGGCGATTGAATCATGAAGGCTCTACCCTCATGGATTAATGGATTAATGACTTAACAGGTTAATGTATTAATGTGTTATCATGGGAGAAGACCATGATGGTTTCCAGCTTCATCTCTGTCCCTGCAAAGGACATGAACAAAAGAGTCCTTTTTTAAGGAAGAAACAATGATTGTATGTTTCTTGATTGGGCAGAGAGAATTTATCAAATGTCCCAATCAAGAGGAATCCATTCTCCTTTTGCTCTCTTCTCCTCAAGTAGTGCATGGTTGTGATCCTGAATAAGCCTGTGTGCTCTGTACATTCAGTATTTCCCTCCAGTGTGCTGGCCCAACGCCTAACCTGGGGACAGGCAGTGTTAGGAGCTTCACAGTTGACACATTTCTAAGCCACATTATCCAAAACACATTTTCTCACTAATAAGGGTAATGTTTGGTCTTCATCTACCTGGTTCCTTTTCCTTTCTCTCTTAATTAGTTCTGAACTTGGGCATGAAACAGGGGTCTCATTTCTTAGGCTATGTGAAACCACAATATCTCCTATGCATAGAAACAGTCCAGGAAAATTCAGTGGAGATGCATCCTAAGGTTGAAAAATTTGGGATTCAAAGAGGGAAACATGGGAGTTAAGGAAGCAGGGGAATAAAGCTCTGAAACCAAGGGCCTTTCACCTGGACTCAGAGTTAGTGAGCCTTCTGAAATGCTGTGCAAAATGTTCTGTGTACAGGATGCAGAGGTTTCATCAGAATTTCAAAAAAGTTGTTTACCCTCTAGTTTAAGAAGCCCACACAGACCTTGAGTTTATCTCCTGACAATGGGAAATGTGATCCCAATGTCTCATCTTCCTCTTGCTTTGAAATGGTCTTGCTGCTCCCCTCATCATACCCTTCAAGGCCCAGCTTGAGCCACCGCCCATCCCTGGAGGAAGCCTCCTCTTCCACTCCCACCCTGCAGGGATCTCCCCCTCCTCTGGGCTCCTGGCCCCCTTGCAGAGGGTCTCCGTCTCCTGCCCTCCTCAACTAAAGTGTGAGCTTATGAGAGTGGGGCAAGCTTATTTAATAGTTGCTATGTGTCACCCAAACTGTCTAGCATATAACAATCATTTCTGAATCACACTCAGACTTGCACTGTGATTAGGTTCTATAGCCACTCTTTTGCTTGCCCTAATATGAACCCTGTAAGGGATTCATTAGATGCATTTTTCCAAAGAAGAAAGAAGCTCAGAGATATTAAGTTATTTTTCTCGGCCAAAACTTAGGAAACAGCAGAGCCAGGATTCAAACTAATGTCTTCTGGTTCCTAGTTCACAGCTTCTTTCACTCCACAAGGCAACTTCCCCTAGAAAGTATTAACCAAAACTTACGACATTAGAATTCTTCTCCAAAGGAGAAATGTCTTTGTTTAGAAACACACATGGATGGACAAGTCTGAATTTGGATCCCCTTGGTCAAGGAGGCAGGAGGAAGGGAGACCAAAAGAAAACTGGACGTTCTTGCAGAAGACACTGAAGGGAATTTTCAGTTGTGTGTGGCCTCCCAAAATGGTGACTGTCCTTTGTAAGAGGTAGGGAGGCATTAGACATAAATATGATCAGTGGAAAGTCCCCCAAGGAAGGTTTGGCAGATGGGTTTTTGAAGAACAGGAAGGTTTAAGTGTTCTATATTAAGTTGATCATCTGTGTTGTTTGTATGTGATCTCCCCCTACTCCCAGCCCAGCAGTTTAAGAAAATTTCAATACACACAGCTGTCTCAAGAGTTCAACATTGAGGAAATCAGGGAAAAGTGGTGATGTTCTATTTTGGATCAGTGGGTAGGAGAGAAGAGAATGATTGGAGTGGGAAGAGCAGGGGAGGGAGAGCTATTCAAGAGCCCAGCAAAGAGGAGGTTCAGAAGGACAAAGAGATGAAAATGAGATGCCCTGGGAATTGTTAGGCCCTGGGAATTTGCAGATGTCTTGGGGTGAACATTGAACCTCCCTAGGATGAGGACTAGAGGTTAAAGTCAATTTTGTTTAGATTCCAAAGACATTTGATTGTCAATACATTGACAGTCACCCTCTCTACATTTTCTGAATGAAGAGCTGTGGGTGGATGATAAAGGGAATATAGTGTTTTAGGAAATAAATGGAATCTTTCAGTTTCCCAAAGGCCTTTTGTATTTGGGGGAGGGAGAGTGTCAGACAGCTGAGGATTTCTTGGTGATGACAGGAGAATTATCTGCTGCAGAGGAAACTGGATGGCATTTAAAATGCATGGACTTTATCTGCAGGGCAGGGCTATGGAAGCACTCCATGCCTCTTAGCGAACTCTAGGCTTCTGCCTCCTTTAAAAAAATGTTCCCAGTTACAAAAGCAAGGTGACAATGCACACGTCACAATCTCTCAGACAAAACCCAATTAACTTCTCATTTGGCTGCTCATCTGAACAGCATAAATGTAAAGGTGACGGAGTGAACAGGTGAGAGCCAAAACACAATTTTGGGGCCCAGGTGATGATCAGCAGAGCCCACAGTGCACTGACTCTGCACGTGACCCTGTACCTGTCTTGGCCCAACAGAAACATCGAATTTAGATCCTGCATCCGCTCACAAGGGCCCTGACAAGCAAAGAACTGCAGGTCTGTTCATTGTAGGGGGAGTGATTCCTGGTGCCTCCCTGTCCCCTCATCCTCAGAAGCTGAAGTGTGAGTCTTGGTGATTTACACCGCAAGCATCAGGCACATCTGAGGGATTTGCAGTAGACATTGAATTGTGGATCTAAGTCAAGGACTGAAACACGGTCTCCCTTCAGCAACTGATGTAACTAGACCAGTGAGTTCTCATTCCCTTTGAGACTAATCATGCTGCTGGTTCCACTGCCCTCGCTGCTGCCATTGTTGTCACTGCAACTATTTACCACTAATTGCTGATGACAGGCCAGGTACGGTGTCTATGGGCTTTCACTTGCTATCTCATTTAATCCTCATCAAAACCCTATGAGATAAGCACGGTCACTGCTTCAATTATATATGTGAGAAAGCAGATTCAGAAACTTAAGTGACTCATTTCCCATCTGAGTGGATTGTTCAGGAAAATAAAAGGAAATTGGCACACAACTTGAGAGGAAGGTTTGGATAGTGGCTAACAGTAAGGGTATTATCATCAGCGAATCTGAGTTTGAAGCCTGGCTCTGCAATTTGCTGGCTGTGTGAGCTCGGTCAAGTTACTCAAATTCTCTGAGGCTCAGTTTCTCCATCTGTAAAATGAGGATGACAGTGCCTATTCCAGTCCTACTGCATTGCAAGTGATTAAGAAATGTCATCCAATTTTATTATTATTAAATAATGGCATTTTTTTTTCTCCGCTCATGAATCAAAAAGGCTTCTCATATGCTCCTTACAGGGTAAAATGGTTTGTAAGGTAAGATTTCTTTGAAAGATTTAAATCTTTGAGCAGAAAGGAGCTCTGGAAGGGCATTCCCTTTCCAGGTTTGGGGAAGTGGTGGTAAATGTAAAATGGTCTGGCCTCAGTCTCACCGTTTCTGTGTTTTAATTTCTGCTTTTATGACCAGTGTTGTTACTTCATAGTACAACTGAGACTCAGTGGAGTTTACAAAAGGAACATTAATAACTCCTATATCCACAATCTATGGCTGCACTAAAAATACTCCAAATTTTGGCTTTAAAACATAAATTATTTATTGCTGCTTAGGGTGTTGTGGTCTCTCCTGGGCTCACCTCTATGATGACAGATGATGAATCGAATGCTGGATTGTCTAAGATGACCTCACTCACATGTGTGGCAGGGGGTGCTGGCTGTCCCTATCAGCACAAAGACCAGCCTGGGCTCCTTGGTCCTTGTCCACATAGCTTTTCATCTTCCAGGGGGCTAGAAGCTTCCTTACAGCAGAGCTAGCTCAAAGCAGAACCCCAAGAGGACATGCCCCAGTGCACAAGCACGTATTAACCTCTGCTTGAGTCAAGTTTGTTCATGGCCCTTGGGCCAAATCGAGTCACATGGCTGGCTCAATATCACACAGCAGAGGAATTAGATTCCACATTTTGATGGGAGAAGTGGTAGAGATTGTGGCCATTTTTAATCCACCATGATCACACACCAAAAAAAAAAAAAAACCCAGAAAGGATTAAGAGAAGGCACCTGGATGATAAAAGGATAAAAAGAACTCAACTTGCAAAGCATGGATTTGTAGTTTCCCTTGGGTCAAAAAGCTTTCAGGCCTGGCCCCATCCTGCATCCTGTCAGGGTGAAGCAGCACCCACTAGCTCCCGGCAGGTACACTTGGTAGGTGTCTTCTTGTCCCCTTCCTTTGTTTCCTGGTAGGTTTCTAAGGCATCATCTTACATCCTCTCCTTTGGGAGCTGGCTATTGTACATCTCTATTCCCTAGACCCTTTCTAGCAGATGCTCTTATTTCTATAGCTACCTCTCCCGTGCCTTCCCCCGACTCCTCCTTCTCAGCCCAATAACCAGGGCCAGACCTTCTTCCAGGGCTGAGAACATGATATAATTAATCTATTATTGCTATGGTATAACTGTTGCTGATTGAAATTGTAATACATACAATGATTACCTTTTGTTAATCAGCTTAACAGTTTTGAGATTACCTTATAGCTTTATTTAATAGAGAAATATAAGTATTCCTTATGGAAATAGCTTAGTATATTTATTAATGTCTAACATGCCTTTTAAGTTAAATTATAAACTAGATATATTTCCAAATCTCTCTCCTTATATTTATATAAATATTAATATATTTGTCATATGTATCATAAGTATTCCATATCTTAAATGTCCGATTAATATTCTATTTGTGTGGTTGTGCTAAAATATATTTAGCCATTCTGATGATGAATACTTAGGTTATTGCCATTTTGCTACTCAAATAAATCATGTTGCAATGAATACCTTTTCACATATTAATATACTTTTTATGATTATTTACTTAGGGTGGATTCCTAGGGGACTCCTAAACCAAAGGATATATGCAGTCAATAAAACTCATTTTATCAGTTTGCCCATCAAATAATTTTATGAATTTATATTCACAATAATTGTGTATAAGAAAAAGATACCCCTTTCCTCCCATCTTTCATGTAATTTTCTCCAAAAACCCAAGTTATTTTTCTTTTTAAAAAAAAAAAAAAAACACACACACACAAGAAGTGAAGAGAGCTAAGAGTTAAATATTTCTAACCCAAGGAATGGGCAAGTCTAAATTAAACAACTAAATTACTAGAGAAGCTACAAAAATCCCTGGTGTGAATGTCCCAGCCCAGGACTCCCTAAAGCCAGGAAGGGAGAAAAAAAGTCTCAAAAGCGGCAGAAGGAAAAGCCCAGTCTCCTGTTCTGTCCAGCATGGCAGCCTGTTCCCGAAGGTTGGTCTCCACAGAGGGGCCCCTATGCCAGACTCTGCTGACATCCACCACTACCAAAGGATCCACTTCAGAGGCCAGACATTTTCCAAAGCCAGCTCCAACCTTGGTTGTCCTGTTAAGACAACCTGGTTTCCAGTGTGAAGCTATCATTTCCCCTCAGACCTGATCATTGCTTCAGACTTTGGGGTTGATATAACCTGTCAAGGAAAAAGTGTTTGTCGTTAGAGAGGCTGAACAGAAATATTCCAGGGCCTACCATGGACGCAACTTTTTCTTCAACTCAAAATTCCAGACTCACTCTCATTGACTCATTGCTTTTTCCAGTGACAGCCCCCAGTGACAGAACTCTGTAACAGAAAATAGTCAAAGGTATTTTGCCATTTGGCAACTGCTTCTAAATAGTACTAGAAAAGGGCTTTTTATCTCTTTGTTATGCTTTAAGTGTCCTGATTAATGTTTGAAATAACTCCAGGGATTATTATGTGAAAGTCTTCCCAGGGCTTTGCCTGGGATCTTAATTCCAGGGGAATGTACACATGTGGGATGTGGGGTTTGGAGCCTTTTGGAGTGGATATTTCAGAGCTCCCACCATTTTCTCTTCTAGAGTAGCATGGAAGCAGCCAGCTAGCTCAAGCCTCCCCTTTCCTCAAAGGGCCTTTTCACATTCTAAATATTGAAGTGAATCCTTGCTATAATAATCTTTTACTTCTTCATATCTGAATGTAAAAGTTTTATGGCTTTTCTTTTATGTTATTCATCCATGTCAGAGAAGGTGGTGTCCTTAAAAATAAATCTTCTAGTTCAAATTCCTCATTTGCAAAAACTGCAGCCCAGAGAGGGAATATGAGTCACCTAAGCTCACATATATCTTGTTGGTACCAGGCCCTGGATAAAAGTCTGGGCCTTCAGGCTTGTGGTAAGAACCACTTCCTCTGTCTCTTTTTAGAAGCTCTTTGGTGAATACATTTTTGAACCTATTGCTAAATAGTCATTAGGCACCAGTCACAGTGCCTAACACTTCACAGTCACCACATCAAATCCTCACGGCAGTTCTATCAGTACTATTATCTTAATTTTACAGGTAAGGGAAATGGTTTTGGAGATGTTTTTAAGTCACCTAATATAATGTATTAGTTTTCTATGGCTGCTATAAAAAATTGCCACAAACTTAGTGCTTAAACAAGATGTATTAGCTTACAGTCTTATAGCTTGTAAGCCCAAAATTGGTTTAATTGGGTTAAATCAAGGAGTTAGCAGCATTGTGTGCCCTTTCTGTTGGTACTGTGGGATAGTCTGTTTTTTCATGTTTCTAGCTTTACTGGCTGCCCACATTCCTTGGCTTGTGACCCTTTTCTCCATCTTCAAAGCCTGCAGCTGCCTGCTGCATTCTTACCTTGCATCTCTCTGACCCTTCCTCTATTATCTTATCTCTGTCCACAGCTGGGAACGGTTCTCTGCTTTTAAGGACTCAATGTGACTAGCTGGGCTCACCCAGATAATCTCCCTATCCTCAAGGTTTATCATCTTAATTACAGTTGCAAATTCCCTTTTGCCACGTAAGGTAACATATCACAGGTTAGGATGGACATATTTGAGAAGGTCTTTATTCTGTTTTCTAAGTCCACCCTCTGGATTCCTAAAAATCCACATCTGTCACACATGCAAAATACATTTTTCCTATCCCAAGGTCTCTAAAAGTCTCAGCCCATAACATGAAATCAGCTAGTAGGTCAATGAAATATAGAACATTTAACCACCAGTCAACTGCACATTGTACAATTTTGCTTTAATTTCGAGTGTGCGATTCTCTTTCTGATTTGCATGAGCTCTTCAAGTCACAGAATATTAGACTATAAGCTCCATGAAGGTAGGAAAGGTGTTTTATTCTTTTATTTATTCTACCCCGATGCCTATCACATGGCAAGCACTCAAATATTTATTAAGCGAATAGATTTTGGAAAAAAAAACCCAAGCATCTCAGTAAATCAATGGTATAAGCAGTGAATAGAGGCAAATAAAGTTATTACAAAAATATACTTTTCCTATTCCAAAAAGCCTTCTATTCTTCTCAGTGTTTTTCAGAGGTCCTTGAAACAGGTTACAAACATCACCAGAGCCCAGGTTTCTTCCAGGTAAATTTATTAAACTGCTCACAGTCCATCTGGGTTTTAATTACTAGTAAATGTCTTTTCAGGCATTGCAATTCCTGCCAATATTGACTCCCAGCCCATGGATTCTGTTTTAGGTTTAAATGTAACCATTAAACTTAGATTGCCAAATATTTGTTATTCTCAACATATTTAGGTACTAGGTGCAAGCATCCTGATATATTTGTAGATGGAATGCTCTCCTGCAGTATTTTTCTAACATTCCTTCCCAAAATGACTGAGCCAACAGAACCTGAAAGAAGAGTATCATTTTCTCAATAAAGGTATTTAATAATAGCTTGCTTTAGATTAGTAGTATCCAGAGATGGGAGTGAAAATAGGGATTAACTATAGATGTGTACAAATGATTTTATGGAGATATAAAAATGTTCAAAAACTGGATTTTAGTGATGGTTGTATAATGGAATAATTTCTCCAAAAATTATTGAATTGTACCTTTAAAAAAGGTGAATGTTAATGATATGTAAATTATATCTCCATACATGCATTAAAAAATAATTTGCCAAACTGAAAGCTTTCCCTTTGAAAACCAGCACAAGACAAGGATGCCCTCTCTCATCACTCCTATTCAACACAGTGTTGGAAATTCAGGCCAGGGCAATCAGGCAAGAGAAAGAAATAAAGGGTATTCAATTATGAAAAGAGGAAGTCAAATTGTCCCTGTTTGCAGATGACATGATTGTATATTTAGAAAACCCCATTGTCTCAGCCCAAAATCTCCTTAAGCTGATAAGCAACTTCAGCAAAGTCTCAGGATACAAAATCAGTGTGCAAAAATCACAAGCATTCTTCTACACCAATAACAGACAAACAGCCAAATCATGAGTGAACTCCCATTCACAATTGCTACAAAGAGAATAAAATACCTAGAAATCCAACTTACAAGGGATGTGAAGTACCTCTTCAAGGAGAACTACAAACCACTGCTCAACGAAATAAAAGAGGATACAAACAAATGGAAGAACAGTCCATGCTCATGGATAGGAAGAATCAATATCGTGAAAATGGCCATACGGCCCAAGATAATTTACAGATTCAATGCCATCCCCATCAAGCTACCAATGACTTTCTTCACAGAATTGGAAAAAACTACTTTAAAGTTCATATGGAACCAAGAAAGAGCCCAAATTACCAAGACAATCCTAAGCAAAAAAAAAAAAAAAAAAAAAAAACAAAGCTGGAGTCATCACACTACCTGACTTCAAACTATATTACAAGGCTACAGTAACAAAAACAGCATGGTACTGGTACCAAAACAGATATATAGACCAATGGAACAGAACAGAGACCTCAGAAATAACACCACATGTCTATGACCATCTGATCTTTGACAAACCTGACAAAAACAAGAAATGGGGAAAGGATTCCCTGTTTAATAAATGGTGCTGGGAAAACTGGCTAGCCATATGTAGAAAGCTGAAACTGGATTCCTTCCTTACACCTTATACAAAAATTAATTCAAGATGGATTAAAGACTTAAATGTTAGACCTAAAACCATAAAAACCCTAGAAGAAAACCTAGGCAATATCATTCAGGACATAGGCATGGGCAAGGACTTCATGACTAAAACACCAAAAGCAATGGCAACAAAAGCCGAAATAGACATATAGGATCTAATTAAACTAAGGGGCTTCTGCAGGGTAAAAGAAACTACCATCAGAGTGAACAGGCAACCTACAGAACGGGAAAAAAATTTTTGCAATCTACCCATCTGACAAAGGGCTAATATCCAGAATCTACAAAGAACTCAAACAAATTTACAAGAAAAAAAAACCCATCAACAAGTGGGCAAAGGCTATGAACAGACACTTCTCAAAAGAAGGCATTTATGCAGTCTACAGACACATGAGAAAATGCTCATCATCACTGGTCATCAGAGAAATGCAAATCAGAACCGCAATGAGATACCATCTCACACCACTTAGAATGGTGGTCATTAAAAAGTCAGGAAACAACAGGTGCTGGAGAGGATGTGGAGAAATAGGAATGCTTTTACACTGCTGGTGGGAGTGTAAATTAGTTCAACCATTGTGGAAGACAATGTGGCAATTCCTCAAGAATATAGAACTAGAAATACCATTTGACCCAGCAATCTTATTACTGGGTATATACCCAAAGGATTATAAATGATGCTGCTATAAAGACACATGCACACATATGTTTATTATGGCACTATTCACAATAGCAAAGACATGGAACCAACCCAAATGTCCATCAATGATAGACTGTATTAAAAAAAATGTGGCACATATACACCATGGAATACTATGCAGCCATAAAAAAGGATGAGTTCATGTCCTTTGTAGGGACATGGATGAAGCTGGAAACCATAATTCTCAGCAGACTATCACAAGGACAGAAAACCACACACCACACGTTCTCACTCATAAGTGGAAATTGAACCATGCGAACACTTGGACACAGGGCAGGGAACATCACACACCGGGGCCTATCGGGGGGTGGGCGGGTCTCAGGGAGGGATAGCATTAGGAGAAATACCTAATGTAAATGACGAGTTGATTGATGGAGCAAACCAACATGACACGTGTATACCTATGTATCAAACCTGCACGTTGTGCACAAGTACCCTAGAAATTAAAGTATAATAATAATAAATCATTTATACTCTTAAAAAATAACTTGGATTGATGAGAAGAACCCTAGCATTAAAAAAAAATAATAATTTGCCTATCTACTCAGAAGCACTTTCCACATGCTTTATGCTAAACATAATTATTTTTTACAGGGGCATTGTCTAAATGCATCCCTTAAGGTAAAAAGAGCTAACATTCTTCAACGATATCTTTGCCTGTTAATACACGGGCTGAGCATAGTCACACTAGTTGTTTCAGAAGCAAGCAGGCCAGGCTTGTTTGCCTTATTCTTCCCAAACAATTTAAGAACAAATAGAAGTTTTTTCTTAATCTTTACATAATTCTGATATTTGGTTTAATTCATCTGAGTAATTATCTCAATATAATTGAAACTATACATTTTTAATGTCCTGCAATTCATTTAGAAGTAGTAATTCAATCCCCAATCAGAGTACTGTTAAAAGAGACAAGTCAGTTTCTCATGGCACATAAAGCTTAATATGCTGGTGTATACCTAGTAGCTAGGAAAACAACGTGAGAAAAACTAAACAGTTGCCAGCTTTTTAGCATTTTTGGACTTAAACTTCAATTATATAAATGCATTTCTGGACAAGTTTATGCAAAACCAAATATAGATACATGTACACTGATGCAAAATAAAGATTCTTTAAAGAGTTACTGGGTTTAAAATAATAAAACTTCATTTTGAAATTGTATAAATAATTCATATGCTTTGTGGAGGGTTCCATATTCCTTAGACAAAGACTTGGACGAGCCATCTCATCCTCAGAGCACATGGCACGATGTTAGACTCTCAGGCTTGATTCCCATTTGAACCAAAGAGGCAGGCTGTGACCTTTGGCTTCCTTCCTTGTTCCTTGTTCCCTGGTATGTGTTTCTGTCCCACAAGGATCACTGGCTGCTAGTGGTTATAAAGTGTAAATTTCAAGTCTATTGAGTCAGAAATCTCTAAGGTGGGATTCTGGGAATTTGCATTTGTAACAAGAGTTACAGGTGATTGCAATGCACATTGATGCATTATTTCCTTCAATTCCCTCCTCTTTTTCTTTTTACTCCTATTGGTCCCATTTCCACATGTATTTTTGTGTCCTTTGGTCCTTAATTGTTTTAAGAGCTGTTGACTCTCTTCATTATAAGACAGTAGATCTGATTTGGTTTCTAATAATAGTTGATATGTTGTGGGTATTTGTTTGTCGATGGCTATTTCGATTAATTTTTGGGTTAACCCTCTAACACAGGGGATAATGCAACACCCTACAGCTGTTAGGACTCCAGCCACTATTATTAAGGGACATTAGAATGGAGGCTACCATTCCTTTCCATTTCCCGAACCAACTCTTTAGCCAATTAGTAAATGGGTTATTCTGGTATTTTCCACTAATTCATTGGCTAAAGTTGTTAACCTTTATAACATCTTTGTGATGGCTCCATCCGGAGCAGTATTGTTAGGAATGAAAGTGCAACACTTTCCATCCAGCGTGACACATACTCCCCCTTTCTCTGCTAAGATCATGTCTAGTGCAAATTGTTACCTTAGGCCATTCAGCTGGTGGCATCTAACTGGCTAGCCACTCCTTTGAAAACATTTCGAGTACAGTTGATGAATCTTTGTTGATTATAATAGATGTAATTAATCCAATCCACATTTTTGTTAATAGTTGACCACCAGAAGAGTGCTGATGCAAACCCAGTAGCTATTTTGTTTGGGGCCTTAAATTCATTAGGTACTCCACTAGGGGCTTCTACTGAGTCAATATAAATGCTGGGATTAAATGAATTTGTTAGATCTCTCTGACTTCGGTAGCCATGTGGATTTTGGGGGATTTCATGGAATGCCAGGGTGAATGGAATGGCCAATTGAAGTAAGGTACAAGTCCCAGTCCAATTGGACAGTAATAGGTCACAGAGATTCCTTTTTCCATAATACCACCAGACATCAGCCCAGGGTATATAAAGAGCTGAGTAGTTGCCTTTGTTTGACTCACCAGTAACATTTGGGATGTGGGTACAAGTAGAGAGTTCTCCAACTGGCTTATTGAACTCTGCCTCCTGCCTAGAGTGGCAAGAGGAGTGGTTTATATTTCCTATGGAGAACGAGGGGATTGCTCTTGGGTTTCATCTCTGCAAGGCAGGAAAGAGCAATGATAGACTTTGGCAAATCTTATTTCCCCATGCATCCCTGTTCTGGTATAGAGCCAACATGCAACACATTCCCTCGGGATTGGTATCCCATCCTAGGGGAAATGGAACCACCTGTGCCTGAGGCTGTCCAGCAGAGCATGCGTAGCAGTTGCTTCAATTAAGAGCTAGTACTGAAAATTTGACCCATTTAACCCAGGCATCTATATCCCCATATCCAGTCTCAATTTCTGAAGTCTGCCTCAAGCCAGTTACCTTAATTATTTTTATTCTCTTAAGGTTATTGTCTGGTGGGTTAAAGGAAGTAGTAGGACTGGGAGTTATAGGTGGCTCTAGTGGATTCGAGGTTCCTGGGTGGGCTCGGGGTGGAGTTGGTGACTAGCCTGAAAGCTAACTGCGTCACAAGATCGCTTCCTGAGATATCTATTCCTAATCTATACCTCCAAGGTTCCTGGTCTAGAGTAGCTAGGTTGTTTATGGTAATTAATATAGGATTGCATTATAAAGTTTTACAGTTGAGCAGTGTGGGGCCCTTATACAAATGTATTTTATTCTTTAAGGGTTTGTTTTTGGCAGAATGTCTCACCCAGCCTCGAAACTGGGTGGTCCACCACACCTCATTCCAGCTGGCAGAGGGCTTTCCCCAGTAGCAAGCTGTTTCAGGACATAGATATTTGTTTGCTTGGGAGAGCTGCCTTTGGTTCCCTAAGTCCCTAAGGCTTGGCAGGCGTCGAACTTTATGGTTTGGGGGATGGAGGTTCTAGGTATGTTGACTGTTAGTTTGACTGGATATTCTTCTTTCACCTGGCTTCATCCAATAATTGTGCACCCTCTCATCCCTGGTAGTAGGATTAATTCTAACCACATCCACCCCCAATGACAGAGCCTGCTTATAGCTTCCTTCTAGGTTTTCCTTAGAGTTAGCTTTAAGAGTTCCTTAGGTGATCTATGCACTTCCCTTTCACGCTTTTCCCTTCCTTCCATGGGTTCTTTTACCAGTCTCTTGACCCTAGTGTAAGATGTCCACCCCCATTCAGCTGTTTGTATGGCTGTCTCAGTGGTCAGGAGCACTAGATAGGGACCTTCCCACCTTGGGCTGAGCTTGTCTTCTTTCCAAGTCTTAATTAGCACTGAGTTGCCAGGCAGCAAGTGGTGACCTGTGAACTCAAGAGGCAGGGTTTGAATTAGAAGTCCTTTCAACCTAAGGGATGACAGGGTGGAGAATATGGACAGTATATCATATCTTAAAAATTGGTCTTTTGTTTCCATAGTAGGAAGGTCAGTAGTCCTACCTAAATATGGGAGTCCATATAATAACCTGTAAGGGGACAATCCCAGGTCTTTCCTTGGGGCTGTCCTAATCCTAAGCAGTGCTATTGGGAGACATTTGGTCCAAGGCACTTTAGTTTTTAAGATTAGTTTAGTAATATGCTTTTGGAGAGTTTGATTCGTTCTTTCTACTTTTGCAGAGGAAGGAGGATGCCAAGGGGTGTGGTAATCCCATCTAATATGTAAACCTTCCATAGCACCCTTGAGATAAAGTGGCTCCCATTGTCCGAATCAATATTTTCTATCAGGCCAAATCTGTGTATAATTTGTTCTAAGATTATTTTGACCACATTCCTGGCAGTGGCAGTTGCTGGGGGAGGCCTCCATTCAGCCGGAGAAGTGGTCTACCGTTACCAGTAGATACTTTAGTCTCCCTATTTTGGGCATTTTTGTAAAATTTACTTGAATTCTTTGAAATGGCCTTAACCCAGGAAGTCTTAATCTGGTAGCTTGCTTTCTAACTACCTTTTTGTTTATTCTCTGGCAGGTCACACAACCCCCACACACTTGCTTAGCAATGGTATAAATCCCTCTCTACTCATAATTCTTGAGTATTGCATCACACAGGGCCTGGGAACCCCAATGACTTCCCTTATGCAGTATTGACATCAGTTATCTCATTATGGGTTTGCTTATCATTTCTCTCTCTCTCATCAGGGAGCACCCACCTACCATCCTCAGTTTGAGTGGCCCCTATCTTGCCCAGTGTTTCCTCATCCTCTTTAGAAAATTGGGGTCTTTTTTTTTTTTTTTTTTTTTTTTTTTTTTTTTTTTTTGAGACGGAGTCTCGCTCTGTCGCCCAGGCTGGAGTGCGGTGGCATGATCTCGGCTCTCTGCAAGCTCCACCTCCCAGGTTCCTGCCATTCTCCTGCCTCAGCCTCCCGAGTAGCTGGGACTATAGGCGCCCGCCACCACGCCCGGCTATTTTTTTTTTCTTTTTTGTATTTTTAGTAGAGACGGGGTTTCACCATGTTAGCCAGGATGGTCTGCATCTCCTGACCTCGTGATCCGCCCGCCTCGGCCTCCCAGAGTGCTGGGATTATAGGCGTGAGCCACCGCACCTGGCCGAAAATTGGGGTCTTAATACCACTTTAGGGATATCTGGGATTAGGCTAAACAGTCTAACTTCTTCCTCCAGGGAGGCTTGCTTAGCAGCTTCATCTGCAAGCTAGTTCCCTACAGCTTCTATAGTGAAGGGTGTGATTTTTAATCCTCCCCTGTTGCCTTCCTTAACCCACACGAGGGGATCATTTTTACTTTCTTCCTCCTCTGTTAGGAGGCCCATCATTACTTTTATTTGTCCCTCCTCTACTCCTAATCCTAAACCTCATCTAATAATCTGGTCTCCACCCAGGAAGTTAGTTCCTGCTTTGGGAAAATGTAAGAATGACCCCTTAATTCGTTTTGATCCCGACCTAATTAACATTTTCTTGAATATCAGAACCTGAACTCCCTCCCCCTTTACCCCTCATACTGTTAACTTTTCCTTGGAGAGTTCTATGCCCCTTGGTTAGTATATTAGGGAGGAGCGAGCCACTCCAGTGTTGACCAAAAAGGTCATTTCTTCCCCTTTGGGTCCCACCCTCAGGTTTATCAAGGGTTCCTGGTGGGACCTACTCAGAAAGAACTGCTGACCTCCCTATTCTTCATCAAAGGTCATAAGGGGGATCACCTCTTCCTTTTTCCACTCTGGACATTCCCTCTTAAAATGTCCTGGCTTCTCACATTTGTAACATCCACTTACAGTGTTAGGATATTTTCCCTGCATTTTCCTCCTGTCTCTGCTGAGACCTAGTATTCCCTTGTTTCCTCCAAGAGGGGTCCTTGTTTAATCTCTGTCTACTTCTTCTACAGTGGAAACCATGATCTTTGGCTTTTGTTTCTGTCTCTCTTCCTCGCTTCTTACGAAAACCTTCTGAGCTTCCCTCAGTAATTCCTCAATCGGTTTTTCATTAAATCCATTAATCTTTTGCAGTTTCTTAGTAATATAAGGCCAGCTTTTAGTCACAAAATTAACCTTTAAAAGGCCTTGCCATACTGGGTCCTCTGGATTTAATCCTGAATATTTTCTCATTTGATCCCTGAGCCTCTGCAGAAACACAGAGGGAGTCTCCTCTTTTTCTTGTTGGATCTTGAATACTTTTGATACATTCTGTGTCCTAGGAGTGGACTTTTTAATCCCTTTAATTATTAGCTCCCTAAGGTCTTGCATTTGGACCCAGTCCCTGGGGTTATTATTATTGCATCCAGGATTCGCATTTGGGATTTTCTGATCATCTGGCAGGACTCCTTGCCCAGGAGAATGCTGTCTTTCTCAAATGGTCATGGCTGCCCTTCTAATCATTCCCCAATCTTCCCCAGTAAGCAGAATACTTATGATTGACATCATTTCAGCCCATGTATAAAAAGTGGTTCCTAAAAATTGATCTAGCTGCTTTGCTAAACTGTGGGGGATCTTCCAAGAGTGGCCTTACTTCCTTTTTGAAATTCCTAACCTCAGTAATTGTTAAAGGCACACTTACAAATCCAGCTCCTCCCTGTCCCACGGGGACTTCTCTAAGAGGTACATGTTAGACATCTGCTGTTTAGAAGGAATAGGGAAATTCTCAATGTCCTTCTTACATTGTTTTAATTTTTTCCTTAAGTTTGGATAACGATTTAAGGGAGCATTGGGTTTAGCTCCTTCATGACCCCCAGATTTCTCTTCCTCTGGCCTTCCTGTTGCCCCCTGATCTCCCTGTCCTCTACTTTCTGAGATGTATGTCTGGGAGGAGCATGTTAGGGGATCCTAGGGCTTTTCATGGGGTGAGGGTTCTCTGCTATGTTCTTCTTCTTCCTCTTTAAGGGGGAACATGGGGATTAATTCACTAATCCAACAAAGATCATAACCCATCTCCTCTCATGAGGATGGGGTTTTATCATTTACATAATCAAAGCTTGGCACACCCAATCTTCATCTGAGCCAAATGTAGGCCAAAAGACCAAAGGCTGATAAATGGGCTCTTTGGGCCAGATAAAACAGTAATACTTTATTATTTTTTCCTTTTCCTTGTCCCTACTTCTAGGGTTATCCCTCCAAACCTGTGGCATTCTTCCCAATGGAATATCTAGGGGAATGTCAGAGGGGGTCTCTTTAGTTCCTCTTTCCTTTGTTCCCTAGGCCTAGAATTCTTGTTTCCCACTTTTGGTTAGTCTGTGTGTCTGAGCTTTTCCCTGTGTACTCAGCCCCCACTACTGGAGGTTTCTTGCACACCCTGAGAATCGCTTCATCCGTCTCCGGCCATTTCCCTCGCGCAGAACGGAACCGTGGGTTAGGACTCTGCACTCACTTTGTATCTTAAGATACATTTCAGTCACACACACTTGACCTCCAAAAATGCCCAACCACCAAGGCAGGACTTATAGTCCACTGTTCCTAACTTGGCTCATGCATGAGGTTGCCTGGTTGCCACAGTGCCTGCTTTTCTCTGTGTGTCACTTTTGCTGCCTCCTGAATAACAGTCTTGGGTTTGTCTATGGCTTCTATGGGGTGCAGGGACACCGGGACAGTGCAGGCCACCTAAATCAAGTGGGATGTGTCTCCTCTCTCAGCCAGAGTCTTACTCCACACAGGTGCAGAGATCCCTGCATGGGCCACCAGGTTGTGAGAAACAAACTTGCCCATCCAAACCCAAAGAATGGATTCAGAGATCTGGAGAACAGTAGAAGCAGGACTTTTTAATGATAGTCTTACAAGGTGGGGTGTTTGGTGGGCAGGCACAGCTAGCATGGTTACAACATGCAATTTATCCCCTAGTGCCCAGTTTCTGCCCCGGTTCCTCATAGGCTGAGTACTATGGGGTCACAGTTTTCTTGGACGTTGCCTATCAGTTGTTGGGTAGGGGCTTTAGGTGTTTTCTTTAGGGTTGTCCTTTGTCATTTTGTTGCAGCCCACATTACATTGCAATTCTAGTTAGCTTAAGGGCTCTTTAAGTATTTGACTTATGACCTAAGTAGCTGGGAGGCTGATAAGAACAGACAAAATGAGCTATTTTGCAGGTTAGTAAACTTTCATCTTCGACTAAACTTCTTTGGTTTGGGTGAGGGCAACTACGGGGGTGGGAGGGCCAACAAGCAGGCATCAGCTATTCAAGCAGGGACCTAGGATATCCTATTTTTTTCTGTAGTTTGCTGACCTAAACAGATTCAAAGCACTTTGTTTTGGAAATGGACCGCTATATACATTATTTCCTTCAAAGACCCTTTGGATGCCTTAACACTTCAAAAAAAGATGTCTCAAAACAGTGTTTTGCAAGCTTCAATGTGCGTATAGGTCACCTGGAGATCTCTTGAAGATGCAGATTCTGTTTTCATAGTTCTGGGGTAGAGCCTCTGTTTCTTCATTCCAACAAGCTCCAGTGATGCTGATTCTGCTGGTTCGTAGACTACACTGTGAGTAATTAACGAAGCCTCGAAGTGTATTCATGCCTTGCTATGGGATCAGTCCATTTTCTAGAGGGTAGAGTATAGTGGCTACACTAAGACCATTCCTTGCAAATGCTCTCTCATTGGAGTCAAGGAGCAAGTGTTCTTCTGGGGATCTGGGCTAGATATAGGGGTCTGAGGGGATCCACTCTTGGGCTGCAGAGAGTGGAGCCAAGGAAGGACTGAAATTCACGGTGGAGAAGATAGTAGAGGGAGAAGCTGTGAACAGCCAGTTAGGAATTTCATCTTGTCACAAATATAAGGACAGAAACAAAGCCTAATATGGAAATAGATACCAAACAACATCAATGTGTCCAGAAAGGAAGACGGGAGGCAGGACCAGAGGTTTCCTGAAGGCTGAAGGATAGCTGCGAGAGACGTTTATAAAATGCTTGCAACTTCACCATGGCTGGAAAGAAAGCCATTCTGAATTTGAAAAACCCTCATTTAATCCTGGATACATGATGTTTATGCTTTTATAGTGCTATGCATTAATTTTTTAAAATTATTCTAACTATATGCAGTAGTAGTTTTCAAACTAAAATATGCTTAAGAACCACCTGGGCAGCTTGTAAGAACTAGATTCCCAGACTCACCATACGAGATTCTGACTCTAGTGTTGGAGGAGGCACCCAGGAATTTGCATTTTCAAATGTTCAGAAAGAATGATTTTCTTACATATTTACATACTTAGTTCTAAGTTATCTTAGCTAAAAGATGTGTACCCACTAATTAAACAATTATGTCACCCTACGCCAATTGCGAGATACCTTTTCCAGCCATTTAAGTTTGTACAACAAAGAATTTTGGCCCCAAACTGACTGGATTTTTCTTGGCAACAAAATCTAGTCCTGAGCTCTAATTATATCTGTAGCAAAACCTCCGTAACTTAGGGGGGTTGGTCATGCAGGCTCTATTCTTTAGAATAGAGTATATTCTACTTAATTCTGAACTCAAATAAATCTTCATTCCCCACCCAGGTTGGACTTTTTACTTGTTGGCCAAGACACTTAAACATCTTGTAGGCGAATTCAAAAGATCTTCTAGAATGACCAAATTCTAATTATTTTCATTTTTCTTCTTCTTGCTTGTCAGGACCAAATATGTTTTGGATATTAAAATTATTTTTGATTGGATTTTATTGATCTTTTTTCCACATTGTCTGAGTAGCAATCCCAAGTTTCAAGGTTATTGTCTTTGGCACTGGATACCAATCAACAAGGAGACAAAACCTGGATATTCGGAGTGTGAATATCAGCTCCATTACTAGGGAAAATCCAGCCTGTGGCTGGTAGCATGCTTCCTCTAGTTTGCCTTCCCTATCCATTCTCATTCAAGACTTTGGGACACCCCATCAGAGGGAGAGACTGAAAAGCAGATGCTTGCTGAATGAACTGGCAATGAATTAGTTTTTCAGAACCTGAAGAGCAGGAGTGAGAACAAGGCCACAAATGGGTACTGTTTGTTAATAAATACTAACTTCACCCAGGCAAGGAACATGGCACTTACCAAGAGATAAATATTTCTCCAGAAAGTTCAAGAATTATACTCCAAATAGGAATTCCATTAATGGAAATAAGGGGACAGGGAATTAGGAATTGCTCTGAAGTTCTGAGCAGTAGATAGGATAAATAGTTGTTAAACTGTTTTGAAAATTAGAAAGTTCTACCCAACTGCAAATTACATTAATTATTGTGTCTAAAGGACTCTGTTGAGATTGTGTCAGGAGAATCATTCAGGTTAAATTATACTGGCAAGAGATTTTCTGTTCCCCGTACTTGAGTGACAATTTTTTGTTTTGTTTTGTTTTGAGATGGAGTCTCACTCTGTTGCCCAGGCTGGAGTGCAGAGGTGCAGTCTTGGTTCACTGCAACCTCCGCCTCCTGGGTTTAAGCAATTCTCCTGCCTCAGCCTCCTGAGTAGCTTGGATTACAGGTGCCTGCCATCACGCCCAGCTGATTTTTGTATTTTTAGTAGAGACAGGGTTTCACCATGTTGGCCAGGTGGGTCTTCAACTCCTGACCTCAAGTGATCCAACTGCCTCGGCCTCCCAAGGTGCTGGGATTACAGCCACTGCACCTAGCTGAGTGACAATTTTAACTTGTTGACATAAACAAAAGAGGTTAAGAGAGAGAATCCATTGAATGGATGGGGAAGTCTATTTAACACAACAGTAACAAACATGAGGTATTTGGATTATCCACAACCTTTCTGCTTCATTAGTGTGGCTAATTAAGAGTTGACTGTGGAAATTTTTATTTAGCTATGCTTTTTAATATCAAGAATTTCCATAGATTAGTGGGAAGGCTGGCATTTGCTTGTCTGATTCACCATTAACTACATAAGTTAATGGGTGTCTTAGTTTGTTTGGGCTGCTATAACAAAAATAGCATAGGCTGGGTGGTTTAAACAAGCAGCATTTATTTTTGATTCTTCCAGAGGTTGAAAGTCCAAGTTCAAGGTGCTGGCAGATTCAGTGTCTGGTGAGGACCCTCTTCCTGGTTTATAGAAGGCTGCCTTCTTGCTGTATCTTCATATGGCAGAGAGGGGGAATGACCATCTGTCTCCTGTCTCTTCTTATGAGGCTGATAATCCCAGTCACAAGGGCTTTACCCTTATCATCTAATTACCTTCCAAAAGTCCCACCTCCAAACTCCATCACATTGGAGATTAGAGTTTCAACATATGAATTTTGTGAGGACAAAAATATTCATTCCACAGCAATGGGCCTTTAGATAATGGAGTGGAGTAGTTCATTTAAGATTCCAGTCTTTTGAAAGATGTCTGTGGTTGAAATTTGTGATGTCTACAGTTAGCCCCTGACTTGTCTTTTTCTCCTGGAAAGGAAAGATAGTGATATTGCCTCTAACTCTGTCTTCTGGCAGAGCTGACTGTAGCCCCTACTCTAGAGACTGGGAAATTCGATAGGCTATAAATACTACTACCTCCCTGTAATCCCCGGTTCAAGCCACCATTCTTTTTCCAGGACAACCGCCTCCTACCTGATCTTCATGCTTACACTCCTGCTTCTTACAGTCTTATTCCCACTCAGAAGCCAGAAAGCACTCTTTTAGAATGCAAAGAAGAATATGTCACTGACCTCAAAACCTTCTAAATCTTTCTCTCCCAAATTCCAAAATTCTGAATGCAGCTGCTCAGAGCCACATGACCTGCCCCCTGGCTACCTCTTCATTGTCATGTCCTGCTATTCTTTTTGTTCACATTTCCCAGCCGTACCCACCTCATTTGCTGTTTTGAGAATATGATGAGCATGCTTTGTACAAGCTGTTCTCTCTTGCCCCAGATAGCTTCATGGCTTAATCCATCACAGCATCTGAGTCTCTTCAAATGCCCTTTCATCAGAAAGACCCCCCTGTTATGAATTGAATTGGGCCCTCCCACTTCATATGTTGAAGCTCTAACCCCCAGCATTTTGGAATGTGACTGTATTTGGATATAGGGTCTTTAAAGCGGTGATGAAGTTAAAATGAAGCTGCTATATATATGTGTGTCAAAACATCACACCGTACAGCAAAAATATGTATAATTATTATGTGTCAATTAAAAACAAAATAAAACTTAACAAATGAGTTTATTAGTGTGGACCCTAATATGATCTGACTGTTGCCTTTAGAAGGAGGAGAAATTTGACACACACAGATGCCAGGGATGCAAGCACATTGAGAAAAGGCCACATGAGGACACCACGACAAGCTGGCAATCTGTAAGCCAAGGAGAGGCCTTAGAATAAACCTTTGATGTTGGACTTCCAGCCTCTTAAAAACTGTGAGAAAATAAATTTCTGTTGCTTAAACCACTCAGTCTGTGGTGTTTTGTGATGGCAGTCCTAGCAGACTAATATGTGCCCCTCGACCACTCAATCAATAGTATGCCTCTATTCCCCTAAGCCAACTTTATTTTCATTCATAGTACCTATAGTTTGACATTATATATTTTCCTTTTCATTTATTTTCTGTCTCACCTACTTACACATAAGCCCCATGAAGACAGGGACTTCACTATGTTTCCTGTTATAAAGCCCAAGACAGTGCCTGGCACATAGCAGGTGCTCAATAGATATTCATTAATAAATAAATGAATGGACTAGGTTGTTAAGATTTATTACCTCCCTGGTCTTTCTCCACCTGTCTATATTCTATCTCTATGAAGCCTTCTTTGACGCCTGTGCCCTTCCTGATTTTTCTGACACCCTCTACTCCCAGGTCTTCCCTGACAGCACCGACACTCAACTTACCCTCCTGGCCCCTGGTCACTCATCGCTTCTTTAATGCTCTGACATGCTGCTTTGTCTTCTGTTTACTATTTTTCTCCAGCAAAGGGAAGTTTCTCTGAAAAGGAGTTTTGTGTTTGGTTTTAAGTGCTATGCATCTCTACTTTTGGCTAATGCGTGTACTTTCAGCATTTCCCTAGCACCTGAATTGCATAGTTGGCCTGGTCTTTATTTTGCTGAGTGATCCTGAAGTAAGTGTCCTCAGACACATTCAACTAATATTTGTTCAGCCCAAGTAGACACAAAAAAGGTACAAAGAAAACACTAATCAATAACTTTGCCTTGCTCTGCTGAAAGCTTGCCATTTTGATGCTCTAAAGACTGTGTTCCATCTAATGGCTGAGAGGTGATGCCACAGTCAGAATTGGGTCCATCTGCAGGACTTGCCAGATTAAGACAATGTGGATGACTGGGTTATTACTTATAATAGAAGCTTGGGCAGGAACCAAGTATTTGTGCAAATTCTCAGACTAGCGTTCAAGGCCCTCCCGACACTGCTTTAATGTCTCATTTCCCACTCTCCCATGTGAAGCTTTTGTTTCACTCCCAACAGAATGCTTTGTTTCCTGGGCACACCCTTGACTTTCCTGCTTTCCAGTCTCTGATTTCTTTCTCCCTGGTTATGAGATAAGCAGCTGAGGAAAGATAGATATTACCTTTTCTTTGATTATAAATTGTACTTTCCCCACCCTTCATTTCCATTTATACAATACTACCTATCCTTCAAGTTCATTCTCAGCTAGCAGCGAAAAGTAGCTAACAGTTATTGAGTAGTTACCATGTGCCAGGAGCTATCTTTAGTTTTTGACATGGAATAACTCATTTGATGACTATAAACATGCTACACAATAGGAACTACAATTATCTTCATTTTATAGACAAGGGAACAGAAACAGAGATGCCATCTCCAATTCTACAGGAAACCTCTCCTGATCACTGCTATGTGATGTGATTGCTTCCGTCACTGAGCCTCAGTGGCACATGCTCTTTCCCTCATGTCATTTAGCTTATATGTTCTTTTAGAATAGTTCTGGGTATACTTGTCTGACTCATGCTGCTGGTCTATGCACTCCATAAAAGGGGAAACCATGTCTTAATATCTTTTTTTATTCATCAACTGCTTCTTGCTGAACATAAGCACATAAGAACTGTATCCTGCAAGATTGATTTCTTGGCACTGGAAGCCCTAGGTTGGTAAGAAAGTTTCCAGGACTCAGACCTTGATGCAAAGGAGTACAAAAGTAATTCCAAATAAGTTTTTTGGATGTGATTTCTGGAGGATGGGGGTTTTGGCATGCATTGGCCCAGTACAAGGGCTCTTAAGAACAGACCCAGCCAGCAGCTCAAGTGCTGTAAACTCCCAGAGACCAGAGATCAGGCCTTTGCCATTATTCCTCTTTGATGATGGGGGAGGTTTGGAATAGTTTTTAGAAATTCAGTGGACATGGAACTCATTCAGGAGAATTGGGCTCCTCCCATCTGCTGGGCACTAGGCTTGAGGTATAGATATGTCTTCGTATTATTTTATTTTGTCCCTCCAGTCTAAGTAGGCCAGGAATAATCTGAGTTCTATTCATCTTTTCAGATCAGTTTTCCTCTCTAGGAAGTTTCTTCTTTCCTCATCTCATCTTCTGATCTTATCCGACACTAGCATGTGTGCCATTCACAGGGCATGAAGTGCAGATGACCCTGTGTGACATTTCACTTTCCATGGGTGTGTACCCATGGAAATACATTAAAAGGGAAAACCATGTCCATACATTTTATCTCTTGAACACTGCTAAAAAGTCCCAAAGACCAGAGATGGAACCTTATACATCCTTCAAGTTCCATGTTTGGGTGCATAGCCTAGACAGATAGCTTTGTGGTGGGTCCACTAATCATTCCCCATATGCTTATCGGCATTAGAATAGGTACTATGGGATCAGATGATTGAACAGGTAATCAAGGAAGCCAGGGTTCACCACAAGCATATTGATGACAAAGAGAATTTCATGAAAGGCTTTTGGAGAGTCTAATATTATATATTAATGGACGCTATGAAAATCGTCCATAAATTATAGACAGAGGCTTTAGAAATGTTAATTAACTCACTCAAGTTGCCCAACTAAAAAATTGCAGAGCCAAGGTTTGAACTCGGGTCTTTTGAAACTGTCTTTGCTTTTCATACTTACTATACTTACATCTTAAAGGACTGTGGAACTAACAACCATTCCTAAACTCACTGACAGGGGTAGTTAAGTTGAACATTTCCAGAGCTCTGTACTCTAGTCTTTTTTTTTTTTTTTTTTTTGAGACAGTGTCTTGCTCTGTCGCCCAGGCTGGAGTGCAGTGGCACGATCTCGGCTCACTGCAAGCTCCGCCTCCCGGGTTCACGCCATTCTCCTGCCTCAGCCTCCTGAGCCGCTGGGACTACAGGGGCCGCCACCACGCCCGGCTATTTTTTTTTTTTTTTTTTTTTTTTTGTATTTTTAGTAGAGATGGGGTTTCACCGTGTTAGCCAGGATGGTCTCGATCTCCTGACCTCTTGATCTGCCTGCCTCAGCCTCCCAAAGTGCTGGGATTACAGGCGTGAGCCACCACGCCCGGCCCTGTCTGCTATTCTTAACAGCTCTTTCCACAGAATTTATTTGAGTCAAGTTTCCATTTTCTTCAGTCACTGGCTTTATCAATGTGCAAAGCCATTTAAAATTAATTAAATTGATTCTTATCTGCAAACTGGTGCTGGATAATGCTTTTGTAGTTGCCAAAGGAGCTTTCCCAAAGGCACGTTAATGATATATTAGTTTTCCACTGTCTTTTTCTTTTTGTTGGTTCCATATTCTAGGCCTTCCACTCCCCAGAATAATAAGTGTGGCTGTTATTATTACACGCAAGGTAGCAAAATGTTCCATCCTCCCAGAGAGATAGAATCCCCATTAGGCTATGGTAACAATGGTCCAGGCTTTGCCCTTTGTCTGAGAGCTTCTCTCAGATAATGACGGGAACTTGTTCTTGGATGTGCTGAAGTCATTGTCAGACATTATGGCTATTGAGACACTATCTTCCATAGTGGCTGATGGGAGCCTGGGTTATTGCCATTATGCTAAATGAAAAGGAAATGACAAATCCCGAAAAGTCCATGAACACAATTTTATTTTGTTCCAAAGTGCCTTTGTATCATTATGTGAAATAATGAACCCTATTGTATGCCTTAGCTTAAAACCTTTCTTTGTTGTAAGCATCCTCAGGGGCATTACAGAGCTGTTTTGGTGTTCCTGGACCATGCGTCACTTGTTTAATTTTTTCATCTATAAAATGACACTGGGGCCTTTATGACATGGGGGTAAAAAATATGATGAGAAGATATATCAAAGCATGGTGACTTGAAGACTTTCCTATTCATACCCAAAATACTAGCAAGCCCCAACTTTAAAAGCATTCCTTTGAGGCGTTCTGGAGACACAAACAGTGCAGCAGAGTGCAGCTGGAGATGTACTATATTAGCACAGAGAAGTCATACCTGACTCACATTACCTAGCAAAGGAGTGGAGAAAGAAAGAGAACTTGGGCTTCCCCGCTAGTTAACAGCTACTTCTTTATCATCATGGAGTTAAGCTCATTAAATGAGGGAGCTGTAGATTCCCACTCCAATGTGCTTCCTTATTCTACTAAATCACTGTTGGACTTTCTTGAACCCAACAGTGAAGTGAGCTTTTGCAGAAAAAAGCAGAGGTGGCTTGATGAATTCCTGTCTGAATTCAGAGAGAAGTCCTTCTGGAAGGGTCAGGAGCTGAGCCTAGAAACAGGCAGGCAGCTTCATCCCCACCATCAGCACTTCACTTCAGACAGTTGGCAATTGGCTTGGAATGACCCCCTGACTTTTTTTGTTGGCCTGGCCATGGGGCTGGTGTGCAGTGTAGCCTGGGTATTGGCATATAAAGTATTATTAATTCTAATTCTTCTGTCAGCAATCTGTGAGACTTCCTCAATCTATCCCCTATTGGACTAGGAAATATCCAAGGCCTCTTCCATCACTAAAATGTTGTGATATTTTGACAAGACTATTTTGTGACAGCATGAACGAACTGATCTTCAACATTTTATAACATCTCCTTATTGGTGAACACCATTAAGTTTCCCATCTGCAACATAAAAAATATCAGAGGAAATTCATAAGTTCCTACCCTTCAGTCCTCTCTCCCTCCCTTCTTAGCACCCTCTCCTCTTCCTTGTTTTGTTTTACAAATACTCTTTAGTTTTGATATACCTTTTTTTAGCTAACGCAAACTATAAAATGTAACTTTCTCAAACTTTATTTTTGTTTCTCCTCACTCTTTCTTTCTACTTCACAGAGCACTTGGAACCAGCTGTAAAGGGAGACCCTATAATATCTTTCCATCAAATTCGAAACCCATCTGCATTTGTTCCATCATTCCCACAGCATTCCTGTTACAACAGAAGTGTTTCTTCTACTTCCTAAGATCAATACCTGCACCGCTGTTCTGTAGCCCAAACCCTGACATTTCGGGAAAATCCACCCTTAGATTGTCTCCTATATATCCAGCTTTTCCTTCTTTAGTTGAACGTTTCAACATATCCTTGCTTTTCCCGTTGTAACACAAAACAATAGTCCTTAAGACAACCTTTCCCATGAGCCCACTTTGCCAGTCTGTGAGCACACAATCTCTCTTTTCTCATTCACAGACACTTCCTATAAATAATTACCTACACTCATTGCTCCCATTTTCTTATTCTCACCCTGCATGCCATGCCAATCTGCCTTCCACTCCCACCACTAACCTGAGCCTTCTTTTGCTAAGTTACCATGGACATCTGTACTCTTCGGAGGATAGGTGCCATTGGGAAGTTACTTTTACTAAATCCACATATTGACTTGGATTTTTATGCACCAATTTCTGCCTTTCTTTTACAGTGGAAGAGGTGATCTTGATTCTATTTAAGACCTCCTCACTCAAGCCCTGGGTTCCATCACCTCTTTGAATATATAACTCTTGGAATTATCTCCTCTTCACTGGACCATTTCCATTTGCATAACCTTCATGCATTAAAAATGAGCCCTCTTAAGCCTGAAAAACCTTAACCTTTTATATATCAAAACTACTCCAAAGAGTTCTCTATGCTCACTCTTCCCATTTTCTTTCTCCCTAGTATACTCTCAATTCTCTTCATTCATGCTTTTTATTCCTACCATTTCATTAAAATTGTACTTTTCAAGGTCATGAATGACCTGCGTCTTGCCAAAGCTAAAGCCAAGTGTGAATGCTACACTGTTCTCATTTTCCTCTAACTTAGCAGCAGTGGAGTGAACTGAACACTTGCTCTTTCTCCAGGCTTTTGTGATGACATATTTTCCTGGTTTTTCTTTACATCATTGGTCTTCCTTCTTGTCCTTTACTACTACCTCTTTATCTGACTCTTTCTCTCTGCATTAATTCTACTCTCATCCAGTCTCGTGAAAATAAACAATATCAATAAGATAAAAACAGTCAAATTTATATACACAAATGTGAGCTACAAGTCATACTCAGCTACACATTTGACTTAGATGTTTAACAAGATATCTTAAACTTAATAAGCGCAAAACTTATTTCTTGATCCACTCTCTCCCTCTTCTTCTGGTTATCCTCTGTCTTCATCAAAACAAATGATCCCACCATCTACTCAGTTGCTCCACCCTTATATCTACGAGTTATCCTTGATTCTTCTCTTTCCTTCTTATCCCACTGTATTACTTTGTTTTCTGTTGTTTATAGCAGAATACCTGAAACTGGGAAATTTATAAAGAAAAGGAATTTATTTCTACAGTTACAGAGGCTGAAAAGTTCAAGGTTGAGGAGTTGCATTTGGTGAGAGCCTCCTTGCTAGTAGGGGCTCTACCGAGTACTGAGGCAGTGCAGGGTATCACATGGTGAGGGGCTGAACGTGCTCACATGCTAGCTCAAGTCTCTCTTCTTTTTCTTATAAAGCAAACAGTTCCACTGTCATGATAACCCATTAATCCATTAACCATGAATAAATAAATTTATTCATCAGAGCCCTCACAATCCAGTCACTTCTTAAAAGCCCCACCTCTCAATAATGCCAGGTTGGGGATTAAGTTTCAATATGAGTTTCGGAGGGGACCTTCAAATCATAGGACCCAAGTTCAATCCATTAGTATTTAATTAGATATGTATTTCAAATTTGATAATTTCTTACCATTTCCATTGTTACAGCTTCTTTCCAAAAGCACAAAAGTCCCCAACTAGACTACTATACGAGCATCCTGATGCTGTTTCTGCTTCTGCTCTTGCCCTATATTATACATTCTTCATATATCATCTGGTGATCTTTTTAAATATAATTTTTAACATTATTTTTCTGCTTAAACTATTACAAAAGTTTCACTTTGCAGTGTAAATAAAATGTAAATTCCTTAATTTTGCCTCTCACAGTTTATTTGCATTTTATTCACAGGAACAGGTGATCTTTGTCTGCCCTTGGGTGCAAACTCCACAAATCCCATGGTTTTCTCCTGACTTGTGGTGGAAGTCACTGCAGTCACGCTCAGTCTTCATTCAGACATTGGATTGCCCAGGCCTATGTAATTATGAAAATTTAACATGACTTGATGTTCACTCTTCTCCCTTCTCCTACCTAGGACTTGCTTCAAGTCTGCAACCTGCATCAAGGAAGTGGCATTCGGTTCTTCTCAATTTCTCTACTTCATGCTTCCTTTCTCTCCTCCCTCCAATCTTAGGCAGCTTCTGACCCTTCTTCAGGGTGGTATTAGGGAGGGAGGGAGGAATGGTAAGGCAAAAGGAAAGCCTCTGAGATTGTCGGTTTCAAGATGTTTCTGTATCAGAAGATAAAGATTTTACAGGAAATTGTCATGGAGTGTTTGCAGGCCCCTTTACTGAGCACCTCTTTCCAGGTGATTCTTTGTCTTAGCAGGTGCATCTCTCTTGCAGGAGGTCATATGTGCCTTCCTCAGCCTTCGGGAATGTCAACATCCCTTCTAGCTTCTTGCTGCTGGAGCCTCTTCACCCCTCTGGTAGCCTTGTTGGGTAGAACCTAAGATGGCTCCACTCAGCTCTTTCTGTCCCATGTGGCCCACATTTAGTCCATGAGAAACATTTATGTCCTCTAGGAAGGAAAGCAGGTTGTCCATGGCACAACTATGCTCTGCTGGAAGCAATATCCAATCAAGACAAGACTGACTGTTTTGTGTTCTTAATATATCTCAAATCCACTTGCTTCTCTTTCTTCTCACCAGCCAAGGCATGAGAATCTCCTGTGTACCTCTGTAAACAAAGTGTTCTTATAGGTCACCTCACAGCTACTGTTACCTGCCTCTTCAATTAGTTTTCCTTTCTGCAGCCACAGTTCTGGGGGGTGTCAGAGAAGGTAAGATTGGCAGACTGGGGTGCTGGGCTGAGTGACAAGAGGCCCAAACATGCTGTGTGAGTGGTGGGCCCCTTGGAGGAGGTTGCTGCAGGCTCCTTCCTCCCAGAGCAGTCAGATACCTTTACTCTCTTCCTGAGTGCTTGTTTGGCAAAGGGGTTTTAATTAGTACAAAGAGCCAGTAGGACCTCCTTACCCCCAGGCAGAGGTTCTGTTCCAGAATGGTGAAAGACCCAGCAAGTGTTCCCAGAAAATGCTAGACCTATGAAGGAACTGCCAAGAGTTAGGACTGAAAGGCACCTACTAGTTTATCTAATCCAAGCAAAATAAAAACAGATCATATCACTCTGGTTTGCATGAAAACAATAGGACCTTTTAAAAGGTATTTTTTAAATTAAAGTTTCTTACTTGGTCCAGCTTATGCGTTGGTACATGTGTTCTTGTTTTGCAGATGCTACTTGTGAGCCACATTGCAGAGCAGCAGTGCTCACATTGAAGTCTGTATCAGAATCATGTGCAGAACTTGTTAAAATGATTCCTGAGTATACCACTAGAAACTCTGCTTTTGAGAATCCAGAGTGGGTTGAGGAATCTTCACTTTCTTCTATTTTTAGACAAATTATTGTTACTATTTCTAACTGTGGTAAAATACACATAACATAAAGTTTACTATTTACTATTTTAACCATCGTTAAGCATTCAGTTTAGTGGTACCCTGCATTGTTGTGTACCCATCACCACCATCCAGCTCTAGAATCTTTCCATGCTGTATAATTGCTTCCCTGTACTGATTAGACACTAATCCCCAATTCTCCACCCCAACTAGCCACTGACAACCACCATTCTATTTTCTACTTCTACAAGTATGACAACTCTAGGTACCTCACACAAGTGGAGTCATGCAGTATTCATCTTTTTGTGTCCTCCTTCACTGTCCTCAAGGTTCATCCATGTTGTAGATGTGTCAGAATTTGCTTATTTTTAAAGGCTGAATAATATCCTATTGTATGAGCATACCTAATTTTGTTTATTCATTCATCCATCAGTGGACATCTGGGTTGCTCCCAACCTTTGGCTACTATGAATAATGCTGCTACGAACATGAATGTATAAATGTCTCTTTGAGACCCTGCTTCCACTTCTTTCTGGAATATGCATTTTTTAAAAGCTTCCAGGTGACTCTAGTAAAGGCGGTCATCAGCCGACACTTAGAGAATATGGGTGTGGTGAGAAGCAAAGTGTGGATGCAAATTCTGGCCTCTTGACCTACCATTATGTGTGCCCAGGCAGTGAACTAACTAGGCATTCTTCAAAAGAACCTGTTTGAACCAGAGCATTTAATGTCACTTCTCAAAATGAAGATGCCAGAACACAAATAGTAATCAGGGGCTAAGCTTTCAAAGGTAATATTTGTCAAAGACTTGTGAAAAATATAGTACTTTCAGAATCAATGTTGTCTTCCCAACCAGACAACAACAAAGATATTATTTTCAAACAAAGATGTTCTTAGCCTGCGCCAGACACAGGTAGGCATTTTCCCATATATTCTCTCATTTGTCCTCACAACAGCCCTGTAGGGAGAGCATTTATTATTAATTCTCCCATTTTCCAGTGTGGAAATTGGAACTTGAAGGGGGTATACGACTAGTATAATGTCATACAATTGGCCTTGATGAGACTCTTGATTCAGAGCATTCTCCACTATATCAGAACATAAATGGAGTTGGAAACAATGCACCTTTAACCTAACTACTCAGGAATTTGTAGCTGGAGGAACTACATGGACTTGGTATTTGGTGGGAGCTCCTGCTAATGAAGGCAGGGGCAGCACTGGGCAGACCTGCTGGAGGCAGAGATGGGGACTGCTGGGATGGCTACATGCACAGGCAGGAAGATGATGGGACTGCCTGCAGCAGGAGCAGACAGGCAGCAGCTGGATTTACCCAAGGGAGAGGGAGTGAAGGTTTTCTGGGTGAACAGGATCTGGCCCCTGATCTGGCCACTGGGGCTTGGCCAGCATAGCTGGTAGAGGAGCTGGAACATGGATGCCAGCTGCAGCTGCTCACTGTATTTGTCCCTATTCTGTCCTGCTCTCCAGCCCCTCATTTCTTGAGATCTGTCCTTTTGTCCTTCCTTTATATAGAGGATGGAGGATGCTCTGCTCACCAGATCTGGCCTGGAGAGGCCCTATTCTTGGCCTCAGTTTCAGACTGGGGGCAACCACAGAACAGCAGACTGAACTGGATCCTCCCACTTCAACAAATACATCCCTTCTGCCCCAGCCAATGCCTCCTTTGACCTAGGACGCCAAACCATGAAGATCTCCAACCTTCCCTGGGTTATGAAAAGATTTAGAAAGTAAACAGCGTCCATGGGCTGAACATTTCAGGAGGGTCTTGGCTGCTGTCCCCTACACCTAAGCTACACTGGTTATTTGACACACAAGGAGGAGCTGCACTGTCTCAGCTAGAAACTTCTCTTCCTCCTTCCCACAGACCCCGTGACCGGGATGAGACAGGGCAGCTTCTAGATAGATAGACCCTGGTGTGGAAATTTTTCCACCTGTCGAACAGTACTTGCCATCAACCTGGGTGCTTCCCAAGGATGACAGATTTAAGGAGGGCATCTCCTCTTATTAGTCATCTTGGGACAGTGTGCAAAGAAATTAGCCTATATTTTTGGAAATTATATTTTTAAAAACTCAAGAATTGGAATTTATATACCTGCTAAGATTTGTCCTACACACCAGATTTAGAGGTTTCGCTGTTATAAGGAGCCCACTTCCCTAAATAAAATTCCACTCAGAGCTTCAAAGCTAAGGCCCTTTCTTCCTGAGGTTCCTCTCTCCTAAGGGTTGCTCTGACACCTGTGGCCCCTCCAGGTGCCCTCTAGGATACCAAGCAACCAGTGTAGACACCAGGTACTCCTCTTGATTCTTTCCAGCCCGTTGAGATGGGCTAGGACTCTTAAAAGACCACACTGCACCAAATAGCCCAAAGACAGACACAAATAACAAGATGCATAAAGTGGAATAAATCACATGATATAGGGCCCAAGACCTGCCTGAAATGCCTTGGTGAGCTTGTAGGCAAGGCTAAAGGAAGGTTCTATCCTTTCTGGCCTGCCCCGCTACTCCTGTCCTCACAGGCCTTTCTCACAGCTATTGTCAGAGGTGGTAACTGTCTCAGTGGCTAATTCCACCTTTCACATGGGACCCCACCTCCTATATCTAGAGTGTTGCCTGGTCCCTGATGTGGTGGAAAAATGTCAACTTTACAATGACCCTAAGGTTCACTGTTGCACAGGTATTTTGACCACGTGGTCTTCCTGAAACAGGGACATTTTGTCAGTTCAGACTAACCACAGACCAGGTTGTTGATTTTACCTGAAAGTATTTTCTGTCACCTTTGAAACACTAGGTGGCTAATATGGTAAACACATTACAGTGAGTGACCTACTTAGATCTGTTTAAATCGGCCTTTGCGTGAGTTTTGGTTACAATGATTCTTTTATTTTTAGCAGGAATGAGAGATGAATGCCTTCTTGCAGATCAGGGTCACATTTTCTTGCCTTCGTCAAGTAGGGCAGAACAATTAGTCCAGTTATCCAGGCAAGAGACTCTAGGCTTCTGAGATTCAGATTCTCAGCACAGAGGCAGCCTGGGCCCCTGTGCATAGCCTGAGCCCCTGAGAGGGCCTTGATAAGCTCTTGATTAAGTCTGCTCCCATTAGGTGCTGACAATTCACGCTAAACAGGAGTGTGGGTGCTGGAAAATGAAGCAAGTGCAGAGTCAGTAGTAGTCTGGATTCTATTTCTGTTTTTCTCTCCAGATAACCTTGGGGAAAATATTCACCTCTTTGAGCCCCAATTCTGCCATTTGTGTTTTGTTAAAAAAAAAAAGGAGGGAAAAAATCATCTACTAAATCACACTGCTTTATAGGTGCAACCGTTTCCTAGGAAATACTTTAAACTAGTTCATACTAAAGTGTTAGTGACTCATCAATTCACTGGCCTTCTGTTTTTAAAGGAATCAGAAGTGCCCTGATCTCTCAGAGTTTCTGGGTTTGGGTGCAAGGCTTAGCATTTTATAGATATAACCTCATTTAATGCTCAAAATAGTCCTATAAGGCTGTAGTTCTTATTCTTCAGTATGTATGAGAGTCACCTGGAGTGCTTGCTAATGCAGGTTGCTGGGACCCATTCACTGAGTTTCTGATTTGGTAGGCTTTGAGCGAGCTTGAGAATTTGCATTTCTAACAAGGTCCCAAGTACTGCTGATGCTCCTGCTTGAAGACCACACTTTGAGAACTGCTGCTGTGAGGTATGTGTACATTTATCTCAGTCTTACAGAAGAAGACTCTGGGACATGGAGAAATGAAGAAACTTGATGGAAACCACTTAGTGGTAGAACAGGGATTTGCAGCCATGTTTAGTTGGACCCCAGAGACCTGCTATTGACCAGTGAGCTACATGGTCTCTAAAGAAGAGGCTGAAAAGGAAGAGTCAAGAGATGAAACAGATCTTGCCCATTCATGATTTTGCTGGATCCTATGAAATCCATAACCATCCAGGAATCACTTTCCCATGTCTAGCTAGCACTATGGAATCCTTGGCTTCATTTGAATCTTTCCAACGATGAAAAGTTATCAAAGTTTGCTGGATAAATGTTATTTTTAAAAGCAAAATTGCTAAAGGTCTGAGCTGAGGACTCCTGACCTTGGATAAGGGCTTAAATTCTGACTCAGCAATTTCTTAACTGTGTGGCCTTGGACAAGTTATTTATGTTTATTGTTCTTCACTTTCTTCATCTGTACAGTGGGCATATAGCATCTGTGCTAGAGTTATTATGAGGTTTAAATTACACTAAAGACAATAATATGCATAATAAGCACATAATAAATGATGGTGGGCATAGCAGTGATAATTGTAGTAGTCCCTATCATTGTAAAGTGAGATAAGAAAGAGTTTGCAGGATTGAGTGGGAGAGCTGGCTGACCAGGCAGGTGAGGAAGGAGTGTTAAGGGGAGACAAGTGTGGTCTGAGTGGGTGGAGATGAGGTAGAGAAGGTAGGGCCAGAAAAATCTAACTAAATAAAATTTAGTAGCAGAGAGGAGCTTGGTGTTGAACAGCCAGACATTCTGCCACTGATTGTGAACTGAGTTCAGAACATTTGCTGAACTGTCTCTGTTTGTCCTTGGTGGCGGTGATGACCAAGGAGATTGAAATACTACTACCACGGGCTTCATGGAACCTGGTTCTAAGATACTGGGGAAGGTGACAGAGATTGGGGGAAAATACAGCACTTCTGGCCCCACTTTGTGTGAGGCAGGGTGACCCTAGGCTTTTTATTATCACAGTCTCTTTCATGTGTGATGCATTCCAGAGGAATGACACATCCTGGAAAGGGGTCCCACTTTGAGTCAAATGAGAGATTGAATCCCTGCTCTGCCATTTACTAGCTGTGTTTCTTCTTGAGTTCCTTAACTTATATCTTTGAGCTATATCTTCTTCTTTTGTGAAGTAGACACAGGAGTGCCCATGCTACAAGGCTGGTTGGTGTTAGGATTCAAGTAAATAAATGTCAGAAATCTGCTACAATGCCTGACCTGCACTAGGCCTCCATAAATAGTCTTTTTCGTTTCCCTGTCTCATGATCTCAGAGTCCCATGAAGAAGGTTAAGACACATAACATTACCTCCATTGTTCAGAGGAAGAACTGTTAAGTGATTTGCATAAAGGTCACATAGCTAAAAGTTGATATTTCTCAAATTCTGGCTGTGGCTTTCTACGACCCTGTGGTGTGCCCTAAGGAGGAATAATAAAATGTGTTTCACTTAATTGGTACTTATTACCTGGAGTGAAGGATTCTAGGCTGTGTGAGATTGAGGAAGAAGGAGACACGATGAATCAGCCATGTCTGCATGGCTAGGGGTCTGCAACAGGGCAGCAGCGGCTCCTATGTAGTATACCTGTCATGCTTGTCCGAGGTGAGTACTTTCTCAGTAAGAAAGCTTCTAGGGTGGGCAAGATGATGCACCAAAGATTTATACTCAAATCCCAGGAGCCAATGAATATGTTCCATTACACAGTAAAAGGGATGTTGCAGATATAATTAAGGTTACAGGCTTTAAGATAGGGAGACTATTCTGTATTATCCATATGGGCCCTATATAATCACATGAGCCTTTAAAAGCAAGAAGTTTTCTCATGCTGGAGTCAGAGAAATGTGGCATAAGGAAAAGATGGACAAATTGGATGCATGTCCTTGATGGCTTTGAAGATGAAAGGGGTCAGGAAAATTTTTTTATAAAGAAGCAGATAGTAAATATTTTTTTGGCTTTGCAAGACATGTGGTCTCTGTTGTGAGTACACTCCTCTGTCATTGTGGAGCAAAAGCAGCCATAGAGAATGTACAAGTGAATGGACGTGCCTGTGTTCCAGTAAAATGTTATTTACAAAAGCAGATTGGCAGGCTGGAATTGACCTGCAGGCTATAGTTTGCTGATGGTTTTCAGACATGCTGGTTAGGTAATTTATACAATGCCCCTCTGCTGGAATTTGTCTGATGCTTTTCTATTTTTTAAATTAGTTATTTATTTGTCTAATGTTTTTCTTATGATGACACTGGAGGCATAGGTTTTTGAGGGGAGGATCACAGAGGGAAAGTGCCATTTTCATCACATTATATTAAGAACACATACTATCAACATAATTTATGACTGCTGATGTTGACTTTGATCACCTATCTGAAGTAGTGTTTGTCAGATTTCTATACTATCAAGTTATTCTTTTTTCTCCCCATTCCAGACTGCACACTTTGGAAGGAAGCTGCTATGTGCAGCCCACAGTTAAGGAGTGCGAAATTTTGCTCCCTTTCCTTTAAGGTGGATTGTCCTCATAATTTATTTGGAGTTCTTCTACATAGAAGATTATCTTTTCTCTGTATTTATTAATTCATTTGATCATTTATATCAGAATGGACTAATGGATATTTATTTTATATTGTGGATTATAATCTAATACTATTTATTTTCTTATTCAAATTATTCTAGCTTTTTGACCAACTTTAAAATTTTGTAAATCTATTAGATTTGAAATAGTATCTTGTTGGGATTTCAGTTGCCTTTTCCCTCATTAACAGAGAGGTTGAGGGTCTCTTCTCATTTTTTGTGGGCAATTTGTGTTTTGTCTCCTGTGAAATGCCTTTCCATGTCTTTTGTTCTTTTCTTTAATTGTTTTAAAATCTTTGTCTAATTAATCTGTGGAGCTATTTATACAGCCTGGATATTAACCTTTGTTAGTTATATCTTCTTCTAGTTTGAGGCTTGTCTTTTTGTTCCTTTTATAGTGTCCTTTGATGAATAGGAGTTTGTTTTTAACCTTAGACAAATTTAGTCAATCTTTCTGTTATGTTTTGTATAATTTTGCTTAAAAATTATTTTCTCCTACAAGATTATGATAGAATTCTCTGACATCTTCTAAACCTTTTACAATTAAGGAATTACTTATCTTGGATCAGATTCTGGGTGTAGTGTGAGGTAGGGATCAAATTTCTATTGTTTTTCCATATCAATAACTAAATACTTCAGCATCTATTGTTGAACTATGTCTCATTTGTTCACTGATCTGCAACTTTGTCATGAAATAAATTTATGACTTTGTATTCTATCCCAAACCAGTACTAATTTTTCTTAATTCTTGTAGCTTATTTCTTTCTTCCTTAATTTCTTTTTTAACAAGTCTTGCTATTTGGTGGGGCAAGTCATTTACTTTATTCTTCAGGAGTGTCTTTCTTATTTCTATTAGTGTCAGTTTTTCAAATTCCACACAAAATCCTGTATGGATTTTCACTGGAATTGTATTCAATCTTTGTATGTATTTGGGAAGAATCGGCAAGTTTACAATATCGAGTCTTCTTTTCCAAGAACATTGTATTTCTCTTTTAACTTTCATTTATTTTCAACAGTCTTTCAATAGAATTTTATAATATTCTCCATAAAGATCTTGCATATCTTTTTTAAAAAGATTTATTCCTATTCAAAGGATTTTCTTTGTTCTTCCTAGTATAAAAGTATTCATTTCTAGAAATTAAAATTTCTAGATATTGTTGGCATGTAGCAATATAGCGAATTCCCATACTGATTTTGTATCCAGAAAATTTGCTAAAGTCTCTAAGTAATTCAAATAATGAATATGTAGATTATCTTTCATTTTTAACATAGAAAATCCTATCACCTGTACCTAATATGTTTCATTCTTTACACTCCAATTTTTATACCCTGATTTATTTTTGTTAAATTCAGGCACTGACCAGGACCTCTATTACAGTGTTGAGTAGAAGAGTTCAGAGTTTACTCCTTGACTTACTCCTTTGACCTCCATCAGAGTTCTGAAGGGAAAGAGTTCTTTCCCTTGAAACCTCTGCTAATGAAATTTCTCCATCTTATAGTCTTAGGAAATGTGATATGGTGGGTGTATAAAGAAAACTGGCAGACCAGACCAGCCAGTGTGTGCTTGTGCTTCTAAAGTCATGGCAGGTCTATTTCATTTGACTTAAATATAAACTTAAATTTCAATAACTGAAAAAGATAATAATAATGCTGAAAATAGTAATTCTACTGTATGGGTACTCACCTCCTGTGAGTAAAACCCTTTCTCTGGAGTTACACCCCTTCTTTGAGATCCTCACATTTCCTACACGAAACATCGTATATTCCTCCATCACAGGACTCCTGGCAATAGCTGCTCTACAACTTAGGCACAGATCCAAAGCTCAACACTTCTGCTACTTTCTTAAAACAAATTATTGGAAGAGTACTGAATTAATAGAATGTCAGTGTTAAAGGTCTCACATAATCCCTATTTCTATGGTAGCTCAACTTCCATGGTAACAGAGGTTTATAGTTGCTGGTCGTTAAACACTACAGGAGTAAGGGTTACAGCTTGGTAGCTTGGGCTATTCGTCGCTGAGCCTGGCCCATCCTTGTGCTTGCTGCTGAAATCTGACAAATGTTTACTTGCTTCCAGATCTCTCAGGCATGCTGCCCAACTTTTTCTTGGATACCATCAACTTGCTCCAAGATTAGTGCCTCTCAAAGTATGATTGGTTCACAGTGACATAAGTGCAGACAGTGACAGCAAGCACTCAGACCCTTTTACAACAAACAGGCTGACATTGTCTCTTGACATTTTGACTATTACTAAAAGTACCAGTTCACAATGGATTAGATTAAAAAATACTCCTGTATTGCAGACAATCCTTGACATTCAGCCTGTTGTTTTGGAGGAAGGCAAAAGGTAAGGATCATCCCAGTTCGTTTTGTTATTCCTTCTGCTTTCCTTTTCCTTGAAATCTTAGCTTCAACTGCACCTTCACAGACACCTTCTCTGCCTATCTCTTCCAAGTCATACTTAATTGTTCCTTCCTTTGTGTTCCCACATGTCTTGTAACTTCATTTGCTACTATTGCATTCCGCTTTGTTTTATAGTTGTCTGCATGTCTGTCTTCACTCCACATTTAATTTAGAGCCCCCAAGGATAAGATTCATGTTTGGTTTCTACCCATTAGGGAGCCCATGTTATTGGCCTCTCCCACTTGAACACTGGATTGTATCTTTTTCATGTCTGCCTGTGCATGATACATTGTCCCTAATGAGCACATATTTGCAGATTAAGTGTATAGGTTCTATATATACATTGACTCATTCAACAACTGATTTTGAGTACTGACTCTATGCCAGGCACTGTTATAAAAGCTTGTGAGCAAGCAGTGGCCAAGACCCATTAAGTTTCTGTTTTCATGCGGCTTACAGTATATAGTAGGTAGAAATGAACGCATGATAAAGTCAGTGGTTATTTGGAGAAATAACACAAGGCCCCACAAGTAGCTAATGCATCTCTCTGGCTTTATCATTTCAAAACAGCTTTCCCCTGGTTTTGGCAGGATGAATCAAAAAGGGACAGTCAGTCTGTCTTCAAAATAATCAGAGACTATACTGAAAGTGCTTTATGATAGGCTCCAGCACCAGAATCATTCATTTTAGGCGCTCATTTTGTGCATCCAGTCATGATGTAAGAAATACCACCCTATAATCTTGTCGTGTTGACAATGCTACTTGGGGAGGCCCTTATCATTGTGTCTCAGCCCCACTGTGGGAACTTACAGATTGTGCTGCAGAAAAGGATAATTTGAAAACCAAAATGGTGAAGGGAGAGAAACAATTGCTTACTTCTGAAAATCAGGGCTTCTGTTTGGAATGTGATCCTGTCACTGCCAAGTTTAGAGTCCAAGATGCCTAAAATAGAGCTATTATTTCAAAATGTTTCAAAGTGATGGACTAAATTTGTCCAAGCAATAGCTTCTGTAAACTAGATCAGTGGTTTCTAGACTTTATTTTTGCTTAAGAAGCAGCACCCTTAATTGGAAAAAGAGCTTACGGAAAAGCTAAAGTTATAAACCAGATTAATTTATTAGTTCAACAGATAGTACTTGAGTACCAAATGCCAGACACAATACTAGGCACTTTTGTCAACATCGGTAAACAAAAAAATTGGTTTTCAAAGAGTTTACACCTAAGTGTGAGAACATAAGAGCAACAACAACAACAAACCATGTGCCATGGAGAAGATAAAGATGGGAGGTCGGGTTAGAAATTGCCAAGTTTGATGTGGTGCAAAATGCAGGGTGGTTAGGAAAGGCCTCTTCAGTAAGTTAGCATTGGAACAGAGAGCTGGAGTAAGTGAAAGAGGGAGACTTTAGACTATCAGGAGGATGAACATTCTAAGCAAAGAAGCAAGTGCAAATATCCTGAGATAGGTGTATGTGTGCAGAGTTCCAGGAATAGTATGAGGCCCGTGGGTCCTGTGGATGGAAAGAGTAAAGGCAATTGAGACTGCAGAGGTAGGGAGGGGGATGAAGAATGGGGACATCATGATTAAGGTTTTGGCTTTTTTTTTTTAAAGAGCCCTAAGTGAGATGATATTAAGCTATTGAAGAATTTTGAGCAGAGTAGTCACAGGATTTGCCTTAAATTTTATATTTTGCCTCAGGAAGTGCATGAACTATGTATCTATAGTAACTAGAAGGAAGGCAGGGTATATGGGTACAAATGCAGGTAGTTTGAAAGATGTGATGATGGGATCTTGTGAACTATTTCTTCTGATTGCTTCTTTTTCCTCGGTGAATTAAGAAGCAGAGTAATCAGCCACGAGTGAGTATGTCAGAGGACTTGTTAGAGTTGTTCAAAGAGAGAGAAGCCAAAATAGTTTTTCAGCAGTGCGGGGATATAAAAGTGGACTTGGAAAATAGAAGGGCTGCCAGACAGCACAAAGTGTTGGTCATGAATTAGTTATTTGTGATCCTACTACCTCCTTCACCATGGCAAGGTATCAGGAGAGAGGAGGGTGGAGGCCCAGGCTCCCCACAGTGCCAGCAGCAAAGTTGGACTGAACAGAAAAGAGGGGGCAAGGGAGAGATTTTAACAATGATGAACCATAGTACCCAACCTGAGTGCTGGGGGGAAGGATAACCAAGCAAAGGAAAGACCAGAAGACTTTAGGTCTTTTTTGGGTCACAGCATTGTGGTGATAAGTAACAGAGGAGTATTAGAGAAAGTGAGGTACAAAGACATGTAAATGGGTCAGGGAGAAACTGCCCAAAATTAAGATTGAGGGAGGGTCAGTTCCCTTCAGTGTTAATGAGGACTAATGTACGGCCACAGGAGAGAGTTAAGGAAGTTGGGGCTTAGATCGCTGGAGGAGATAATGTCAAGTAACTGAAAGGCCTAAGTACAGGAAGGTTCATCTATATGGATATTGAAATCATCAAGAATCAAGACAGGAGTAGCGTTGGAGGTAATGGCAGGACACCAGGAACTACCTTTTCCTAAAACTGCAAGGAAGAACTGTACAGGAGTCTATGGATGGTTGAGGAAGGGTGGTGGGTGGAATAGTTTTGCTGCAAGAGCTCCTAAGCCAGGTGGGGATGACTTAAGGAGGAAACAAGAGCAATGGCCAGTGTAGGAAACCAAAACAATTCTCATTAAACATCCAGGGTTTCCACAAAGGCCTGAAATATTTCAGACTGAAGGAGAAGCAAAATTTTGAAGCAAGGGCTTTGAAAAAGTGTTATGGACAAATGCATGCCCAACAAATTCCTTGTGCTCATTGGTTTGTTTTTATTTGTTTGTTTCTCTGGCTGTGTATGTATACTTAGTACTCCAAGAATCAAACCACTGCAGGCAGTGATGTGCAGCTCTAAGTAGTAACACCTGCTGCTCCTAAGAAGACACTCAGACATCTTCCTGTCTGCTCTCCACCAGCTGCTGTTCATCTTCTGTTTGGAGCTCTCATCTCTGGTTCTCTGTCCTAGCCTCTGTTACAAAACTTTGGACCCTTTATTCTTAGACATGTTTATATCCCTTCTCTGGTTTACTGGACCCAGCGTCTTTCTCCATTCTCAACCTAAATGCTCACTTGTTTTTATGATTCACTTTTGGCTTCATCTGTCAGCTACTAGCATGTTACTGGGGAGAAGGCAGATGGTGGAGCCTCTTGTCCTCCAAAGTAAGATCACAATGTTCCTGACATGGTTTGGCTGTGTTGCCACCCAAATCTCATCTGGAATTGTAGCTCCTATAATTCCCACATGTTGTGGGAGGGACCTGGTGGGAGATAATTGAATCATGGGGGTGGCTTCCCCCATACTATTCTCCTGGTAGTGAATAAGTCTCACAAGATCTGATGGTTTGATAAGGGGTTTCCTTCTTCACTTGGCTCTCATTTTCTCTCTTGCCTGCCTCCATGTAAGACATGCCTTTTGCCTTCCGCCATGATTGTGCGGCCTTCCCAGCCACATGGAACTGTGAGTCCATTAAACCTCTTTTTCTTTATAAATTATCCAGTCTTGGGTATGTCTTTATCAGCAGTGTGAAAAGTGGCTAATACAGTGAATTGGTACCAGCAGTGGGGTGCTGCTGTAAAGATAGCTGAAAATGTGGAAGTGACTTTGGAACTGGATAACAGGCATAGTTTGGAACAGTTTGGAGGGCTCAGAAGAAGACAGGAAGATGTGGCAAAGTTTGGAACTTCCTAGAGACTTGTTGAATGGCTTTGACCAAAATGCTGATAGTGATATGGACAATATGGTCCAGGCTGAGGTGGTCTCACATGGAGATGAGGAACTTATTGGGAACTAGAGTAAAGGTCACTCTTGCGATGCAAAGAGACTGGCAGCATTTTGCTTCTGCCCTAGAAATCTGTGGAACTTTGAACTTGAGAGAGATGATTTAGGGTATCTGCGGGAAGAAATTTCTAAGCAGCATATCGTTCAAGAAGAAGCAGAGCATAAAAGTTTGGAAAATTTGCAGCATGACCATGCAATAGAAAAGAAAACCCCATTTTCTGAGAAGAAATTCAAGCTGGCTACAGAAATTTGCATAAGTAATAAGGAGCCAAATGTTAATCACCAAGGCAATGGGGAAAATGTCCCCAGGGCTTGTCAGAAACCTTCTTGGCAGCCCCTCCCATTACAGGTCTGGAGGCCTAGGAGCAAGCATTGGTTTTATGGGCCAGGCCCAGGGTCCCCCTGCTGTGTGCAGCTTAGGGACTTCGTACCCTGCATCCCAGCCACTCCAGCCATGGCTAAAAGGGGCCAAGGTACAGCTTGGGCTGTTGCTTTAGAGGGTGTAAACCCCAAGTCTTGGCAACTTCCATGTGGTATTGAGCCTGTGGGTGCATGGAAATCAAGAATTGAGGTTTGGGAACCTCTGCCTAGATTTCAGAGGATGTATGCAAATACCTGGATGTCCAGGCAGAATTTTGCTGCAGGGGCAGGGCCCTCATGGAGAACCTCTGCTAGGGCAGTGTGGAAGGGAAATGTGGGGTTGGAGCCCTATACAGAGTCCCTACTGGGTCACTGCCTAATGGAGCTGTGAGAAGAGGGCCACTGTCCTCCAGACCCCAGAATGGTAGATCCACCGACAGCTTGCACTGTGCACCTGGAAAACCTGCAGATACTCAATGCCAGCTGTGAGAGCAGCCAGGAGGGGGGCTGCACCCTGCAAAGCCCAAGGCCATGGGAGCCTACTTCTTGCATCAGCGTGCTCTGGATGTGAGACATAGAGTCAAAAGAGATCATTTTGGAACTTTAAGTTTTAATGACTGCCCTATTGGATCTCAAACTTGCATGGCTCCTTTGTTTTGGCCATTTTCCTATCTGGAGCGGATTTATTTGCCCAATGCCTGTACCTGTATTGTATCTGGGAAGTAACTAACTTGCTTTTGATTTTACAGGTTCATCGATGGAAAGGAGTTGCCTTGTCTAAGATGAGACTTTGGACTGTGGACTTTTGAGTTAATGCTGAAACGAGTTAAGACTTTGGGGGACTGTTGGGAAGGCATGATTGGTTTTGAAACGTGAGGACATAAAATTTG